>NC_000001.11:240578060-240729576 GCF_000001405.40 Homo sapiens
TGTTGTTTTTGTGTTGTTGTGGTTGTTGTTTTCCACCATTCTACTCTCTGCCTTTGTAAGATCAAATTTTTTAAAATTTTTTTGAGACTGAGTCTCACTCTGTTGCCCAGGCTGGAGTACAGTGGTGCAATCTCGGCTCACTGCAACCTCTGCCTCCTGGGTTCAAGCTATTCTCCTGCCTCAGCCTTCCGAGTAGCTGGGACTACAGGCGCCTGCCACCATGCCTGGCTACTTTTTGTATTTTTAGTAGAGATGGGGTTTTACCGTGTTGGCCAGGCTGGTCTTGAACTCCTGACCTCAAGTGATCTGCCCACTGTGGCCTCCCAAAATGCTGGGATTACAGGTGTGAGCCACTGCGCCAAGCCACAGCTTACTCTTTTTTACTACACAACCTTTGGCAAGGCAATTCTCTGTTAGTTTGCTCATCTAAAACATGGGTATAGGCTGGGCACGGTGGCTCAAGTCTGTAATCCCAGCACTTTGTGAGTCTGAGGTGGATGGATCACTTGAGGTCAGGGGTTCAAGACCAGCCTGGACAATGTGGTGAAACCCTGTCTCTACCAAAAATACAAAAATTAGCCAAGTGTGTTGGCAGGCACCTGTAATCCCTCTACTCGGGAGGCTGAAGCAGGAAATTCACTTGAACCTGGGAGGCGGAGGCTGCAGTGAGCCAAGATCACGCCACTGTACTCCAGCCTGGGTAACAGAGTGACACTCAGTCTCAAAAATAAAATAAAATAAAATAAAATAAAATAAAAATAGAAAAAAAAGAGCAAATTTCAAGACTCTTCAGTAGACCCTAATGAATGAGAAGCCCTAGGGCCGAGATTGGGAATCTGCATTTTGGAACAGCTGCAGGTGGGTCAGTGAATCTGATACTCTGCCTTATGAGAAAGATTGGGATTGAAAGGAAAACACCTTCACATTCAGGTAGGGATTCCTGTGCAATTTGGCACTTTCTAGGTCAGAAGATGCTTTCTCTTTTCCCTTCAGACTCTCATTGTCAGGTCATTCTCCTTAAACCTTTAGGGGATGGGAGATGAATTCCCCAGGCCACATCTGTCAGATTCTACATGGCAGTTACATTCCATACCCGTTCTCCCTGTCGCCACTGTCTGTGGGGAAGCTGGCAGATTTGTGGAGAAGTCTAGAAGGTTGTGGAGAAGCCATGGAAGGTTGTAACATCAACTTTGCAGTTCAATCTCTGACCCTCCCCAGAATTGATTAATTCATCTTTTAAATTTGTCATTTCATTTAACAAATATTTGAGGGCAGATATGTACTAGAAGCAGCACAGATCTGGAGTCAGGAGACCCACAGTGGCATTACGCAAAACACCTCCTCAGTCTTACTCTCTGCTTCTTCATCTATTACAATGAGATAATAATCATTCCTACGTCACAGGGTAGAGGTGAGGATAGAGTGAGAGTTTTAGTGAAGGCACTTTGTAAACCATAACAACAGAGCAAGCATTCTTATTTTCATGTGCAATACGCTGTGATAGGAGGTATGGGAAAGCAAAGGTGTTTCGTTCACTTCTCTCAGGAATTTGCAGTCTCATAAGGGTGTGAACATCTCTCTACATGAGTAACTATAATATGAATGTCATGGGATTGGACAAAATGCTCAGGGAGTGCCAACGGTTTCTGTCTGGGGTCATCAAGAAAGGTTCATCAGAGCTTGAAGGCGTAGCATTTGGGCTTTGAAGTGTGATGGATTTCAACTGGTAAAGCTAAAACAACAGGGCATTTCTGGGGGAGAGAAGGACATGAGGAGTGGCAGAAAAATTAAAAGATGGAAGACATGCCTGGTGAAAGATACATAAGTAACTTTGCTTATGATTCTGTTTCTACCTTGGGCATCCCCTTGCATGGGGCAGTGTGAGGGAGCAGATATTAAAGTGGAGTGGCTGGTGTCAGACATACATATGCGTTTGTCATCTGTGATATGCACACAAATCTAAAACCAGAACACCTGTAGAAATTTAGACTCCGCTTCTGGATGCTGAAATTGGAGCAACTCTAAAACATGATAAAAAGTGCATGTCTGGCTGGGTGTGGTGGCTCATGTCTGTAATCCCAGCACTTTGGGAGGTCAAGGCAGGCAGATTGCTTGAGCCCAGGAGTTCGAGACCAGCCTGGACCACATAGGAAGACCTCATTTCTATTTAAATAAGAAATTTAAATACAAATTTTTAAAGGTGCATGTTAATCCTGAAGTATTTCACAGTAGTATGTACACAAAATGTAACATGAATAACTGTTAGGTTTCTGTTAAATTTCTGTTCTTAACCAGTTTACAATAAAAATGGTTTGAATTTTCATAAGCTTTTCTCTTCATACCAATAATCAACTAATATTTTCATTTGCTGACATGCCTTATCAAGATATATGTTCTTGTTTAAATAATTGATGACTTGCTTTAACAAAAAGTTTATGGAGACACTTGCCTAATTTGTTAATTACTGCTGGTAGACGTTACCTTCTGTGCAACATTTAGTTGAAACATATCCAATATATCCTTCCTTCCTTCCTGACAGCGTCTCACTTTGTCACCCAGGTTGAACTGCAGTGGCACAATCATAGCTCACTGTAACTTGGAACTCCTGGGCTCAAGCAATCCTCCTGCCTCAGCCTCTCGAGTAGCCAAGACTACAGGTGGGCCACCACACCCAATTATATTTTAAATTTTTTGAAGAGATGGTGTCTCACTATTTTGCCCAGGCTGATCTTAAACTCCTCACCTCAAGCAGTCCTCCTGCCTTGGACTCCCCAGGTGCTGGGATTACAGGCATGCATCACCATGCCCAGCCTAGATATCCAATATATTGCCTATTTAATATGAACATTTGTGTTTAAGAATAATGTAATAATGGAGGGTGTAGCTTGTTAGTTAAGAGCATAAACTCAGCCGCGCCAGTGGCTCACACCTGTAATCCCAGCACTTTGGGAGGCTGAGGCGGGTAGATCACCTGAGGTCAAAAGTTCAGCACCAGCCTGGACAACGTGGTGAAACCGTGTCTCTACTAAAAATACAAAAATTAGCCAGGCGTAGTGGTGCATGCCTGTAGTCCCAGCTACTTGGGAGGCTGAGGCAAGAGAATCGCTCAAATGGGTGAGGTGGAGGTTGCAGTGAGCCAAGATTGTGCCACTGCACTCCAGCCTGGGTGACAACAGCAAAAATCCATCTCAAAAAAAAAAAAAAAAGAGCATAAACTCAAGAAACAGCCTAAGTTTGTCACCCAGCTCTGCCATTCAAGTAGCTGTGCGATTCTTAGTCATTAATTAAACTCTCTGTCTCAGTTACCATCTGCCAAAATCAACTACTGGTACTCATCTTATATGGTTGTTATGAAGGTTAGCAGGGCCTGATATGTGGTAAACGCTCATAGATTGTAGCTATTATTAAGTTTGAACATTTTAAGTTAAAATAACACCTATCTAAATATTTAGATGGGGTTTTATAATTTTATAACAAAGTCATTAAAATCAAAATGAGTAACTTTTAGTTAAATTAATTTATACAAATCAATAAATAATTTCTATCAAAAGTAATTATTTTTCTGAATTGTGTTGCTTTAGAATTCAGCAAAAGAATTTTAGTATGAAATGTTTTATCTAAGAATTGAACTTTCTGTTCACTTGGAATTAAGCTTTTCTATGCCTGTCAATTTATATATTTAAACAGCTGTTTTCTGAATATGAGTTCTAAAATAAAATTTTTCATACAGATATTTCTGCCTTTTAAATTTAAAGAAATGTTGATTACAGAATACACTAATAGGTACACAGAATTTGATTTTGGTGGTTCTCCAAAATAAAGTCATACAAGTAACAGTTTAGTAAACTCTTCATTGGTTTCTATTTAGAGCCTGCAAGGCAATTCTGTAATACAGTGGTTCTCAAACTTCATGATCTCCTGAAGCCTCATTAATGCACGATTGCTGGGCCCCACCTTCAGAGTGTCTGATTCAGGAAGTCTGGGGTGGCAGCTGAAAGGTGACTTTCCAACAAGTGTTCAGGTGATGCTGGTGTAGCCTGCCAGGGAACCACACTTTGAGAACCACTGCTATAATTCATTAGAAGAGTTTAGGATGGCCGGGCTCGATGGCTCATGCCTGTAATCCCAGCACTTTGGGAGGCCAAGGCGGGTGGATCACAAGGTCAAGAGATCAAGACCATCCTGGCCAACATGGTGAAACCCCGTCTCTACTAAAAATACAACAATTAGCTGAGGTGGTGGCACATGCCTGTAAACCCAACTATTCGGGAGGCTGAGGCAGGAGAATCACTTGAACACAGGAGGTGGAGGTTGCAGTGAGCCAAGATCGTGCCATTGCACTCCAGCCTGGGCAACAAGAGTGAAACTCCATCACACACACACACAAAAAAAGAGTTTAAGATATTGAATTCTTATTTTCTGACCTGAATAAAATTTTATTAAGAAATTTGTTGACCTGGCCTGGTGGCTCACGCCTATAATCTCAGCACTTTGGGAGGCCGAGACAGGTGGATCACCGGAGGTCAGGAGTTCAAGACCAGCCTGTCCAACATGGTGAAACCCCATCTCTACTAAAAATACCAAAAATTAGCTGTGCGTGGTGACGTGCACCTGTAATCTCAGCTACTTGGGAGGCTGAGGCAGGAAAATCGCTTCAACCCAGGAGGCAGGGGTTGCAGTAAGCCAAGATCACACAATTGCACTCCAGCCTGGGCTAGAAGAGCAAAACTCTGTCTCAAAAAAAAAAAAAGAGAAATTTGTTGTATATTTTTCTCCTCTTTGATCCAAGGAACAAAATTTTTTTAAAGTACGTAGCTATTAGATTCCAAAAGACAAACAAAGTATAGGAAAATTTACTTCTCAGAAAACTATTTCTGGATTCCATGGCTGATTTTACTTTTTTCATTTTAGATTTGCTTGACTAAAACCTCTTGTATTTTCTTTCTCCTTTTTACCACATCTTCTTATTTTGATGGTAATGACAATCTTCTTTTATGGCATTTTAGGATTCCGTTTTGCCTGGGTGAGTCCTAAAAAAATCATTTCCTGTATCTGTCTGCACAGTGCCTTGTAATCTGTAACTACATCGAATCATCATCTGAAAGTACAGTTTCTGGAATGTGACACTTTCGAAATAATCCTTACTTGCAGAAAATGTTGCTTATGTGGCATATATATGTTAATCTCATGGAGGAAAAAAAAGGGCAAAAAAATGCTCAGCCCAAGGAGACATCTAAATTATCCAACCACATAAACATGCAGACGTTATTTAGGAAAAATATAAAGATGTGACAGATAGCTAATGACAAATGGCCAATTTACTTATATAATTAACTTTGCTACTAGAAAATTTCCATTCATGGAATAGCACCAAATGTACACGATGTCAGTGCCTTTTTTCAAGGCAGTGTTGCATTCAGCCAGCTGGACTTGTCTTCTATAATTTGCTCTGATGACCAAATATGCTCTACATAAATTCTAGTTTCTAAATCACGTTCTTCTCTTCCCTTTCTCCCACTTTCTCCCTTCATCTTACTCATCTCTATCTTTTTTTTTTTTTTAGACGGAATCTCACTCTGTCGCCAGGCTGGAGTGCAGTGACGCTATCTCAGCTCATTGCAACCTCCACCTCCCAGGTTCAAGCCATTCTCCTGCCTCAGCCTCCTGAGTAGCTGGGACTACAGGCATGCGCCACCATGCCCAGCTAACTTTTTTGTATTTTTAGTAGAGATGGGGTTTCACCTTGTTGGCCAGGATGGTCTCAATCTCTTGACCTCGTGATCTGCCCACCTCGGCCTCCCAAAGTGCTGGGATTACAGGCATGAGCCACCGCGCCCAGCCTTCATCTCTATTTTATTCTGTGTTTTATCTACTTCTGAAATTAGCCTCTGCTAGTTGAATCCTTTAGAGAGGTTGCTGTCCCCTCCCCACACAAGGAACAAGAATAAGTGATAAGAACTGTAGGGTTTATCTTTACAGTTGGGCCTCCATATCCTAGATTTCTGCATCAATGGATTCAACCAAACTCAGATCAAAAATATTTGGAGAAAAAAAAAGAAAGCAATGACTACAACAATGAAAATAATACAAATGAAAACAATAAGCCTGGGCAACACAGTAAGACCCCATCTCTACAAAAAATTTTTTAAAATGGCCGGGCGCAGTGGCTCATGCCTGTAATCCCAGCCCTTTGGGAGGCTGAGGCAGGTGGATCACCTGAGGTCAGGAGTTTGAGACCAGCCTGACCAACATGATAAAACCCTGTCTCCACTAAAAACACAAAAATTAGCCAGGCATGCTGGTGGGTGCCTGTAATCCCAGCTACAGGGGAGGCTGAGGCAGAAGAATTGTTTTAACCCAGGAGGTGGAGGTTGCAGTGAGCTGAGATCAAGCCACTGGACTCCAGCCTGGGTGACAGAGCGAGACTCCATCTCAAAAAAAAAAAAAAAAAAGAAGAATGAAAATAAAAATTAAAAATTAAAAAATAAAAAAAATTAGCTGGGCATAGTGGCGTGCACCTGTGGTCCTAGCCCTAGCTACTTGGGAGGCTGGAGAAGGAGGATTGCTTGAGCCCAGGAGGATAAGGCTGCAGTGAGCCATGATTTCACCATAGCCCTCTAGCTTGGGTGACAGAGTGATACCCTGTCTCAAAATAAAGAAATAAAAAGCAATGCAGTATAACAACTATTTACATAGCATTTACATTGTATTAGTATTATAAGTATCCTAGAGTTTATTTAAAGTATGTGAGAGGAAGCTCACAGGTTACATGAAAATACAACACCATTTTCTATTAGGGATGTGAGCATCCTCTGATTTTGGTATCCACAGAGGACCTAGAAACAATCCCTGACAGAAGCTGAGGGATGACGGTGCTGCCATCCTTTCTGTCCATCCTTTGCCTTTTTTGTAGTTTCCCTTCCATTTGAGGGGGAAAAAAAGTAGTTTACTAGAGAGAAGATGACATTAAAAATGAAGCTCTTGGTCCCAGTCCTGTTGCAAGACCTTTACCTTGAAAATTCAGGCTCCTTATCAACTGGTGGGGAGGGATCCTTGTATTCACTTGATTTCCTAAGTTTGTAGTGAGAATCAATTTAGGCAATGTAGGTAAAAGTGCTTTGTGAGCATAAGCACATGTCAGGGCCAAGACTAGTGTGAAGGAAGGAAGGAAGGTCCCGAGGGTGCAGTTTAAAGGAGACACCCCCTCTTAGGACCTTGCCACCATAGGGCCCTGTGAGGACTGCCACCTGTGACTGTTATGGTCATCTGCAACTCAGCTGTGACCAAGGGTTAAAATCTGGCATTAAATAGATTAAATACCCTAATTTCTCTGACGGGGATGTACTTAACACAGACTGCAGTCTCGGGATTAAAGAAATAAAGTTCTGACTGGGCACGGTGGCTCACCCCTGTAATCTTAGCACTTTGGGAGGACAAGGTGGGAGGATCACTTGAGGTCTGGAGTTCGAGACCAGCTTGGCCAACACGGTGAAACCCCATCTCTACTATACACACAAAAATTAGCCAGGCGTGGTGGCGGGCGCCTGTAATCCCAGCTACTCAGGAGGCTGAGGCAGGAGAATCGCTTGAACCTGGGAGGCGGAGGTTTCAGTGAGCCGAGGTCATGCCACTGTATTACAGCCTAGGTGACAGAGAGAGACTCCATCTCAAAAAAAAAAAAAAAAAAAAAAAAAAAGAGAAAGAAAGTTCCAACCAGGTGGAGGGCCCCTCAAAAGGTCACAGTGGAGACATGATGGTAACCTACTTGGCCCAGGAAGGCCAATCCTTGGTTTAAAGAACACTGAGTTAAGAGTATGAAGGGAAAGGAAGCTTGTGCATTTAAAAAGAACTTGCATCTGATGAGTTGCATCTGATGAGTTCTTTCTCAGAACAATTTTCCCACTTGGGCCCTCAAAATAAAGAATTATTAAAAGAATCTTACTATATTTAATTCAGAACCCACGATAGAAAAAAAAAAAAAGACAAAACTCACACACAGAGCAGAAAAGCCCTTTCTGTGACTTACTCTAGAAACTATTATGCTTCACAAGCAAATTTAAGAAAAATTTTTCTCTGCCTCAACATAAGATTAAGACAAAGATTACTACATAGTGACAAAGCTAAATCATCTCCGGAGGATAGAGTTACTTTCTCACTAATGACTGTCATCTGCCAAGAACTAGTATGCTATTAATACTTGTAAAGCTCCCTGGACTAGAAATCCATTACTAGCAAAAGTACAAGTCCATTTTTATTCCAGGTAATTAATCTAATTTGACTTTCTCCTGATCACTACTTAGCAGAAATGGATGCTGACTCCTTTCTCTGTGAAGAACAAATAGATCTTTAGAGAGACTTCTCACTGAGTGACCTTAAAGGAATAGTTCTCCCTCTTGTTCCTGCTGCTTCTGTGCTTAGTGAATACTCCAAGTGCAGAAGCTTGTCCAGGACTAAGCTTATTAGCAGAGAAGAGAACCAGTTCCTGATGCTGGTATGTAAGGAAGGAAGTGGACCCTGGAAGAAGAGCCGAGGAGAGACACATGAACCAGGCTCCCAACCCCAACAGAAATCTGCAAATAACCAAACTGCATGTACCCATGATGTTTGTACACAGAGAATACAGAATAGTGGTCAATCAGGTGTCACCCTGGTACCTCGGTTACTTCCTTCAAAGAGAGTTGAAAAAGAGTTTATCTTAAAGAATGAAGTTCAAAAGTGTTGATTTCAGTTTTTTACCCAACCTCTACTTAAGGTGACTTTGGCAAAGAAACTGCATGTTTAAAGATGCCTATCAGGGGTTCTAGTCAGTTCTACTTTTCTACTGAAAGTGAATTAAACTGGAAAAACGAGAGACTGCAGCAGAGTGAGGAAAGAACTTAATATACGTGTCACCAAAGCAATCAGGAGAGAATTCTTGGAAATATATATAACATACATTATAGACATTTCTGGATCAAATTGACTTTACCCTCTCGAAGGCTTTATTTGATCGATCCTGCTCTTGGGTCTGATTATTTTTTCCTATTCTGAAGTTAAGTCTTTGTAAATCATATAGATCAATTAGAGAAAAATGAGAAAATATAGATCAGCAGAAAATTAAAATCACTAAGAAGCCTACCACTCAAAGATAACCCCTGTTAAAACACACACTGTCTATATAAATATGTACTCCCAGATTTTTAGGCGTATTTATATAGACATGCTTTTAAAAAAATATGTAACTTGCATTTTCACTTTCTTTTCTTTCTTTTTTTCTTTTTTCTTTTTTTTGGGGGGGTGGGGACAGAGTCTTGCTCTGTCACCCAGGCTGGAGGGCAGTAGTGTGATCTCGGCTTACTGCAACCTCACCCTCGCAGGTTCAAGTGGTTCTCATGCCTCAGCCTCCCACGTAGCTGAGGCTACAAGCATAAGCCACTGTGACTGGCTAATTTTTGTATTTTTAGTAGAGACAGAATTTTGCCATGTTGCCCAGGCTGGTCTTGAACTCCTGGGCTCAAGTGATCCACCTGCCTCAGCCTCCCAAAGTGCTAGGATTATAGGTGTGAGCTACCATACCAGCCGTTTTCACTTTTATGAGCATTTTTTCATGTAAATAGCTTTAATATACTATTCTTATTAGCTGCATTATGTTACATTGTGTAGATATAATTTATGCATTGATTAGGTTGAAATATACTATAATGAATGGCACTCTTAGCCATGCAGATAGACTACACAATGCTTAATTCTGTGTTTTTATTGTGAAAGAACACCCTACCTATGCTAGATTCTGAATCCACTGAGGTAGTATTATTCTCTTTGGCCTGATTTGTAGGCCTGTTAGGGCAGATGTTTTCTGAACTCTGCCCTATTCCCTCCAGTCCCTTACCATTTCTGTGCCCTCCAGCCTGGCTGTCAAGGGCCAGCACCTTGCTCTTTGATGGAAAACTGCTGTGAAACGGCACATGGAACCCACGGTGCCTGCAGGCACAGGGAGCTGGAAGTGCCTGGGAGTTCACGTCCTCACAGGGGCACTCCTTAACCAATGAATGGCAGATGTGGAGTACAAATATCTTGGTTTTTGTTACCTCCCAGAAGGGACGATTCTGAGGTGTGTGTTTTGTACTGTTTTTCAGTGTTTTGCACTGTTTTTCAGTGTTTTCCCATTGCACTAACAGCCATTTGCCCATTGAGATGACTGGCTTAGAATGCACCTTTTATTGACTATCTTCGCTTCCCTGGTCATTTCTTCCAACACCTACCCTTGTTCCTGGCACTTCTCACTACATTGCTTGCACTTGAATCCTTGACTCAGCGTTTGCTTCTGGGAATACCCGAACTCAGACACCTGTTAGTTATAGTCAGTTCGACAGCAGAGCTTCGGAGGTTGTGGCCTGTGTCTATTGCTGCAGAGGTATTGGGGACTTCATCCAGTCATCATATGGTGGCAACTCTTCTTACGCCTTGTCACCGTAACATTTTAGACATTCACAGGAAAGCAGGCCAGCTAAGGTCATCTTTATTTTTCACATAGAAAAACTGTAGAGCTTTTTAGTCTCTAAGAGCTTTTTCGTGCAAGGTCACGCAGCTAATTATAAGTAGAGCCTGAACCGGAACCTATGTTTGTTGACCAGACAACTGTACCTCTACAAAATGACACTAATATGTCAAAAGTGAAGTTGACTTGGGATGAATATGCTGCTTGAATTAAGTTTAGGAAGCCTAAAGCTTAAAATACAGTCTTTGAAGCATTTTCAAAGCATAGTTACTTATTTAGTAAGTTTGTTTCCGGCTGGGCTGGATGGCTCAAACCTACAACCCCAGAACTTTGGGTGGCTAAGGCAGGAGGATCTCCTGAGACCAAGAGTTCAAGACCAGCCTGGGCAACATAATGAGACCCACATCCCTATAAAAATTAAAATTAAAATTAAAAATTAGCTGGGCTGTATGGCAAGCACCTGTGGTTCCAGCTACTTGAGAGGCTGAGGTGAGAGGATTGCTTGCACCCTGGAGGGCGAGGCCATGGTGAACCGTGATCACACCACTGCACACCAGCCTGAGCGACAGAGCAAGACCCTATCTCTTTAATTTAATTTTAAAATGACATTAAATTAGGCCGAGCATGGTGGCTCACGCCTGTAATCCCAGCACTTTGGGAGGCCGAGGCGGGCAGATGACCTGAGGTCAAGAGTTAAAGACCAGCCTGACCAACATGGAGAAACCCTGTCTCTACTAAAAATACAAAATTAGCCGGGCGTGGCGGCTCATGCCTGTAATCCCAGCTACTCGGGGGTCTGAGGGAGAAGAACCGCTTGAACCCGGGAGGCAGAGGTTGTGTTGAGCTGAGATCGTGCCATTGCACTCCAGCCTGGGCAACAAAAGCGAAACTCCATCTCAGAAAAAAAGAAAAAAAAAAGAAAAAAAAGAAAAGAAAAGGAAAGACATTAAATTAAATTTTAACAATTTTCTTTCCTCATCCTACTCTTCACCTTTCATTGCCTTATGTTCCTTTCCCAGTATCTCTTCTACTTTCTTTGGTACCTAAGGGTGCCTTGTTCCTATGAGAACAATGGGATCTCCTGATCTCATGGGAGATCCCATTGTTCATGATCCCGTAGGAACAATGATCCTATGCGATCATAAACTGATCATTGCCACCTAGCTGAACTTGAGCAGGTTGTACTCAGGAGGGAAGGTGATGTGGGTAATAGGTATAGTTCAAGGCAGAGTGTGGTAAGCACTTTAAGAGAAGTGCAAAGTCCTTTGGGAGGACAGAGGAAGGAAAGAAAAATTCTGGCAGAGACAGAAAGGGAAGGCTTGCTGGAACAGGTGGCCTTTAAGCTGGGTCTGGACGGATGGGTAGAATTTCAACAGGCGGATGTTGGAGTGGGGAAGGAGGAGAAAGGACCAGCATGAGCCTAGAAAAATGCAGTACGTGTTCAAGTGGAGGGGTGGTTGGCTCCCAGGACACATGGTGGGAGGTGGAAGAGATGTGTGTACAGTGAGATGGAGAAGGACCCTTTCCTCAGTGCCTGGGAGTTTCCTTTTGCTTTGAACAGTTATCTGTGAGCAGGAAAATGTCATAACTACAGCTGTATTTTAAGAACATTTATCTGAAGATGCACTTCTTTTATTATTAGATGCTATTCATTGTGTTGTGTTCAGCCATTCTTTTAATGTAGAATAACATTCACATACACTAACATCAGAGCTCTTTACCTTGGCTGTGGCCCTGTAGTATCTCGATAGCTTGCCAGTTTTTGCACCTCAAATTGTTCCACTGTCATTTGCACACTAAGTTCTGAGCACAAGTGTCCTCTAGAAGTTCCTAGAAAATATCTGGTCCTGCTCTTTATGGGTTTGAGGATTTTTTTACTTTTTCTTTTTCTTTCTTTTTTTTTTTTTTTGAGATAGAGTTTCGTTCTTATGGTCCAAGCTGGAATGTAATGGGGCGATCCTGGCTCACTGCAACCTCTGCCTCCTGGGTTCAAGCGATTCTCCTGCCTCAGCCTTCTGAGTAGCTGGGATTACAGGCATGTGCCACCATGCCCAGCTAATTTTGTATTTTTAGTAGAGACAGAGTTTCACCATGTTGGGCAGGTGACCAACTAACTCCTGACCTCAGGTGATATATGCACCTCGGCCTCCCAAAGTGCTGGGATTACAGGTGTGAGCCACTGCACCCGGCCTTGTTTGAGAATTTTGTGCTTGTTCTTCCCCAAGTCTCATGACCTTTTTTTTTTTCTTTTTTCTTTTCTTTTTTTGAGGCGGAGTCTCCCTCTGTTGCCCAGGCTGGAGTGCAGTGGGGCGATCTCGGCTCACTGCAAGCTCCACCTCCTGGGTTCAAGTGATTCTCCTGTCTCAGCCTCCTGAGTGGGATTACAGGCACGCGCCTCCATGCCCGGCTAATTTTTGTATTTTTAGTAGAGAAGGGGTTTCACCAGGTTGGCCAGGCTGGTCTCAAATGCCTGACCTCATGATCTGCCCTCCTTGGCCTCCCGAAGTGCTGGGATTACAGGCGTGAGCCACCATGCCCAGCCAGAAATGACTTCTTAACTGTCTTCTCCTTAACTGACATTTATTTCCTCAAAGGAAATTTCCCTGTCCACCCCATCAAAAGAAGCACTCGTGCTGTTTTCTGCCTACAACTAACACAATTATTTATTATTTCCTTGTTTACTTTCCACTCTCTACCACTGTCATTGGCTCCATGAAGGCATGAATCATACAGTTATGATCCTCCAGGGTAGTCCCAGAGCCTGACAGAGCGACTAACACGTACAAGGGACTCAATAAACGCTTGTTGAAGGAACATATTGAATGAAGTGGAATTAATGTTGTTAGAAAACTGAAAAGAGGTTACGTAGCTTAGAGATATACCTAAGAAAATTATTCAGCATTTGATGAAGGGGGCTGGTGTTGAGGAGGCCCATGTGTACAGAAGAGCTTACGTCTTTGGTATTCCTTCCTCACTCATGTTAGTCGACGCTCACGTTTTGGCGGAATTTCCTCTTGGTACATTTATTCCTTCTTGCCCACATCTCCCACCTTCAACTTTTCTGGCCTTTATTTCAACTAAGTGCTAGGCTTGGTAATTTTCCTAATGATCTGGAAATGGATTGCTCTTTCACAGATGATCACGGATTGGGTTGCCCAAGACCTGGTCATAAGTCACGACTTGCTGAAAAGTGAGGGAGTTTTTTGAAGTGGAAGGGGCCTTTGGAGGTCATCCAGGAGCTTTTGAAACAGCTCCAGCAGCTGAGTTAGTAGGCCCAGTACCTTCCCTGGCAATCTGGTTTCCTGATTTGCTACAAGGTATGGAGCTGTTTATGATGCTTTTGATAGAAAATAAATGGCTCTTAATTCTACTGTAGGATGAAGTTTGTATTTGAAAGGTTTGAATAGGTTTTTCAGACCACGGTTCTACAATTGACTATAAAATTTTACAGTCTGGTTCCAAGGATATAAAAGTCTGTGATGGAGCCTCCTCTCCAGGCTACAAGTAGAAGAATTCTAAAGGCTGTGGCTACAGCTGAGAGACACTCCATCTTGGCATTGGAACCAAAAATACATTTAACAAAAGAGTCAATGTAGACAGGCAGGTAAATTTGCTTGAGACTACTTCTAAAATTTAATTTCATCTAGAAGGTGAGTGAAATATTACTAATTAGCACATCTCATGATTTTTAGAGTGAAATGCAATCAGACTTGTAAGACACAATTCATTTGTAAGATAAGTTTATATGCAAAGAGACTGACTTATAACTTTTTATTGTGCCAGTGGACACAACGAGATACCATCATAACAGTGGCCTTTTGGGTAATTTGGGGAAATAAATAATAGTTTTTGAAAATATTTGCACCAAAAAATATTTAAGTGTTAAAAAAAAGCCATTAAAATGGTCCTTTTTAGTTATCTTCAGAATTCACTTAGATAGTACTCCAACATTTGATATCCTCTGACAAATAAGGTTTGCTGAAGTCTTTCTTGACAGATTCCTTGACTGGATGTTTAACACAGAGTCTACAATCCTGACATGTGATAGAAACCACTTCCTAGGGACCAAACAACTCTGCACGTGATTATGTATTTATGTGCCTCAAGAATGTTGTCAAGTTGGGGCCCTTTCCTGCTCGCCATCGCAGAGACAGGCAGCCTTCAATACACAGGTCCATCACTGCCCCTTACACATTGGTGTTACAGAGGAGAAAACTGCTCCCCTGCCGCATGCACTGGCCTGTGAGGCTTGGACTTGCCCTGGAATGTCTCCACTTTGCCTCTCTGCTCCCTGATGAAAGTCTAGGTAATCTTGGCCGGGCACGGTGGCTCAAGCTTGTAATCCCAGCAGGTTGGGAAGCCAAGGCAGGCGGATCACCTGAGGACAGAAGTTCGAGACCAGCCTGATCAACATGGTGAAACCCCGTCTCTATTAAAACTACAAAAAAAAAAAAAAAATTAGCCGGCATGGTAGTGGGCGCCTGTAATCCTAGCTACTCGGGAGGCTGAGGCAGGAGAATTGCTCAAACCCAGGAGGCAGAGGTTGCAGTGAGCCAAGATCATGCCATTGCAATCCAGCCTGGGCAACAAGAGTGAAACTCCATCTCAAGAAAAGAAAAAAATAAAATAAAATAAAATAAAGTCTAGGTAGTCTTTAAGGCCCATCTCAAATGTCATCTCCTTTGTAAAGCTTTCCCTTCTCTTGTGCTCCCCATGCATGACAGGAAGGGGGAAGAGGCTGCTTTGCAGTCCATTGTCACTTGGCTCCTATCTCTACCATGACATTTATCTTAGTGTCCTGTGCAGAGAAGCAGCAAAGCATGGAGCTATGAGCTCAGGCCTTCAGATTCCACACACTGAGTCCTGAATTCTGTTTCCACCAGTTATGAGTTGGGAGACCAGTGGAAGACCAACATATAACTTACCTCTCTGAGTCTCAGTATCCAGATTTTAAAACCCAGCACAATGAGTCTACCTAGTTTACAAGATTAGGTGAAGATTAAATGAGATCGTGAACAAAAGGTAATCAGCAACGTATGTGTCATATGGAAAGTTCTCAATAAAAGTTGGTTAGTACCATTACTGTTACTCATGTAAGTCACCTTTGTGTGTTGCAGTAGACTCTGAGCTTCATGGCGGAATCCTTCACAGGGCCTAGCCTAGTCCTGGTGCATAGTACTTTCCTAGTGTTTGTAAATGAATAGGCGTGATTGTTCTCAGTGTCTATTAAATGACAAGGACTATGTTACCTAAAAGGGCTGACACGACCTTAGTGGCCAGACTTCACTCTTTCTCCTTGCCGTTTCTTTGCTCTGCAATGGCCTACCTTCTGCTTGCTATCCCAGTGTTAATCGCACCCTCTTTCAATTTGAAAAGTAGTCCAGTTTGGGTGATTTATTTAATGGTCATCTTAATTTGTTTGTTTGTTTGTTTTGAGACAGGGTCTCACTCTGTTTCCTAGGCTAGAGTGCAATGGCATGATCATAACTCACTGCAGCCTTGAACTCCTGGGCTCAAGTAATCCTCCTGCTGCGGCCTTTCAAGTAGCTGGGACCACAGGCACACAACACTACATCCTGCTAATTTTTTGATTTTTTGTAGAGATCGGGTCTTGCCAAGTTTCCCAGGCTGGTCTTGAACTACTGGGCTCAAGTGATCCTCCTGCCTTGGCCTCCCAAAGTGTTGGGATTAGAGGCGTGGTGTGAGCCACTGCTCCCGGCCTCATCCTGGTTTTGAGAGTTTTCATCAGCTTGATTCCCATAAATTAAGTTCCTCACTATGCAATATTCATGCCACACGTGGCAGGCATTGTGGGGAGCATTCAGTCACTGCATGGAATTGATAAAAG
The DNA here is from genome assembly GCF_000001405.40 of Homo sapiens. Lineage (NCBI taxonomy): Eukaryota > Metazoa > Chordata > Mammalia > Primates > Hominidae > Homo > Homo sapiens. The sequence goes on from NC_000001.11 coordinate 240,594,386, forward strand.
GGTAAAAGGATAAAAATTGGTTCATTCTTTATTTGCTCTTTTCCCGGAAATAAACCAGGAAAGAATATTGGGTTGAACCTAAGAAGACAGGAAAACTGGACTGAGAAACTCAACCATTTGGAGTAGTGGGATAACCTTACATGGGTAGAACATTTGAGAATTTAGTAATCCAAAAGAAGATTTAAGAGAAAGACCCAAGAAAAACCAAGTTGAGTTTGTATATGTTCTTTGGCATAGATCTTCTTATAAATAGTATCTTCAGGGGATACTACAGTGAAATTCAAAGCAAAAACTAAGTTCAGAGTCAAATATATATATTTATACATGAATATTTATATATATGTATATATATATTCAGTCATGTGTCACTTAACGACAGGGGACACATTCTAAAAATGTGTTTTTAGAGATTTCATCCTTGTACGAGCATCATAGAGCATACTTACACAAAACACCTTGCCTATATGGTATAGCCTGCTGCTCAGAGGCTACCAACCTGTTCAGGACGTTACTGTACTGAATAGTATAAAGAAATAAACACAGTGATAAACATTTGTGTGATAGGAATTTTTCAGCTCCATTATAATCTTATGGGACCATATCATATATGCAGTTTGTCTTGACCAAAATGTCATTATGTGGCACACGACTGTATAATACATATAAACAAGGCAATCTAATACCCACTGAGTTAGCCCATATAAAAAAAGTGAAGTATGGCCGGGCGTGGTGGCTCATGCCTGTAATCCCAGCACTTCGGGAGGCCGAGGAGGGTGGATCTCCTACAAATACAAAGGTTAGCTGGGCATGGTGGTGTGCACCTGTAGTCCCAGCTATTTGGGAGGCTGAGGCAGGAGAATCACTTGAACCCAGGAGGTGGAGGTTGCAGTGAGCCAAGATTGCGCCACTGCACTCCAGCCTGGCCACAGAGTGAGACTCAGTCTCAAAAAGAAAGTGAAGTATGTGCTTTCTTCATTACCTCCCAGGGCTCCTTTTCTTAAGTTCTTTTGCTCTCTTGGGGTTATACTTCATCCCCTCCCCATGCACCCTTTCCTGCACCCCCTCCTCCTGGGCAGCCCTTGGCAACCCAGAGCTCTTTGGGTCAATCTTCAAATATCCCAGCAGGATTTTGCTTTTCCAGTTATATTCCAAATTATGGAATGGAAGGTGTTATTCCCTAATAAGGGAATTTCAGGGGGAAGAAAAGTCACTGGGAAGGCAATTCAGGAATGAGGATAATGCCCTGGAAGCCATCTGGAGGCGGCATATTGAGTGGACAGAAAGCCTGGGCTTTGGAGTCAGGCCGAGTTGGGTCTGAATTCTGGCTCCTTGCTTTTGGCACTGGAGCTCTGGACTTTCATTTGTATGAAAAAGGATAATAATAATACCTGGCTTGTCTTGAGAATTAAATGAGACTGTGTTTATAAAACACCTAATAATGTGTCCAGGTCTTAGTCTAGCATGAAGGTTAAGAGGAAGTGTTTTAGAGGCAGACAGAAAAAGGGCCTACCTTTTCCTCAAGGGGGAGTGACTTGATGATCTGGTTTCTGGAGAACGAGGATAACAATGCAATTGTCACAGGACTGTTGTTAAGGCTTAAATGCACTGGAAGATTTACCTGAGTGCTTGGCATATAACAAATCCTAAATAAGTTGTGACGACTATAATATCAGTTATTATAGTAGAATACTCCAAATAAGTGTTCTGCTATTGTGTAGGCTGAATGATCGGTAGGCATTATTTTTGTTGTCATTATTATTATTGCATCATGAACATTCTTGAATTAATTTGGGAGATGAAGATCCTACTTGCTTAAATATAACTTAGAATCCTAAGTCTAATCAATCATCACATATAATAAGTGTTATGTAGGTCTTAGTCAGTGTTTAAGATATCCATTATATTTTCCCACAGGAAAAGTTAAGGAAATGCGAAACTATAGAGGAATTACTCAACTTTTCTGTCCTAATGACTATGGACCAAAGGTCATTCATTGGTGTATGCAATCACCCTATAAAACAAGGTGGCTTGCCGGGCACGGTAGTTCACTCCTGTAATCCCAGCACTTTGGGAGGCTGAGGCAGGTGGATCACCTGAGATCAGGAGTTTGAGACCAGCCTAACCAACATGGTGAAACCCCATCTCTACTAAAAATACAAAAATTAGCCGGTCATAGTGACACACAACTGTAATCCCAGCTACTCAGGAGGCTGAGGCAGGAGAATTGCTTGAACCCAGGAGGCAGAGGTTGCGGTGAGCTGAGATTGTGCCATTGCACTCCAGCCTGGGCAACAAGAAAAAACTCTGTCAAAAAAAAAAAAACACACAAGGTGACTCAATCTATTTCTAATGCCATCTCAGGCTGTTGAGAGCAGTTTAGAGCATTCCAGGTAAGTCTTTGACACAGGATTTCAATTCAGCTGCCGTTAGTCACGTAGATGTACCCAAACTTACGCTCTGATAGAAAAACAAACATTTGGTTATCTCCTTGTGCATACTTCGGGCAGAGAGAAAAAAAGGACCTGACCTTTTGATAGTCACTTTCTCCGTCCTGCATTCTGGCCAGTGCACAAGTAAATAAAAGCTGGAAACTACTGGCCTGCTCTGTCCTTCTTTCTCATGAACTGAAATTCAGCCAGTGCCAGATAGGAAACCAGAAACGGAGTATTACTACTCTACTGTGGCGCATTCCCTTCCTAGGATCATATTTTTCCAAAGAACTACACCTGAATGTGTCTTGCTTGGATTCCAAGAATCCATTTTAATGACCGTGGTTACGATCCTTTAGAAGAAAGCCAGGAATGAGACCGCTGTCTCGGGTGTGCAACAGAGCTCAGGAGCCAGGGCTCTCAGAGCACAGATTGCCAAAGGGCACTCCTGAGCTACAAGCAAGCAAATCAGCGGGGTATTTAGATGCCACAAACTGTATGCCTGTCCTTGTAGTTCCAGGAGCTAGGAAGAAACTTTCACAGCAGAGCTGCTATGCTGTCACGACAACAAAACTAAACTGCTAAGAAAGTGATGTGAGAGCTGGGAACTGCTGAGAATAACAAGCACATAATCTCTTCTAGTACGATACGTGCTCCACAGTCCCTGCTGAGCAAAACCAGTGTTTCAAACGTCCCTTTCCGCCTTGCTCCCGCCTCATTTTACTCAAAGGTCACCTTTAATATTGAATGTGGCTGTTTGTTTACATGTTTGTTTCTCCTAGTGACCTGGGAGCTGCTGAGAGGCAAGGACTAGGTCTTATGCTTTTTTATATTCCCAATGCTTGGCACATTGTAGAAACTCAATAAATGTTTGTTGAATACACACAAATCAGAACTCTGATGAAATAGGACTAAAGTTCTAAGCGGATGGCTGATTTGTTAGCATTATCTGTGTCTTTGTTAGATTTTTTAAATTAACAGAGCCTTACTTTCAAATCTCCATGCCCAAGTTGCTCATCTTTTCATGCACCCCCGAAACATTTTCTAAGCAACTACCCTCTGCCAGCTACTGAGGGGTTTACACAGATGGAAAATATATTTTCCCTTCCTTCAGTGAGATTACTGAGAGTGTCATAAACTACACTCTATATATTCAGAAGCCACCCTAATAAATATTTTTGGATTTATTTGATAGTTTTGGCTGTCATCTGAAACAGAAAATCAGTTCAACACCACTGCAGTTAATATCGACTAAACAGCTCCGAACCTCAATTGGCCAACGTTTTAATCATATGGAGACAATTTGAATTTTACTGCCATCAAGAAACAACAGGAATATTTAATGCAAGAATTAGGAATGCATACTGGTTTTCACGGTGCAGCTTGGTAATTATGAAAGCACACTTTCTTGTTGTCGTTAAAGGGACTTTTGGTAGCCAAACTATTGTTCTGGTGTGTGGTGAGTCAAAAGACCCCAATGGCCTCTCTGCCTTTGATCTTTTAAATGTCTGAAGTTGTGGGATTTTGCATGCTACACTGATAATCTGGGAAAATGTACAATCACTATAAAAGGAAATTTTTCTATTAGTCCAAGAGTAATCATTTATAGCAAAACCACCTGACAGAAACATGTGGGTACATATCACCCTTATGAAGACCAAAGATATTTTTACAACTGAGGATTATTTTCTTCCCTTTGTACAAATCCATATGGTGCCTTTTCAGACATCAGTCATCAGCAGTGCTGTCTCATTCAACCCCAAGAATAGAGCTCAGGAGTTTTGCTCCAAATTTGGATAAAAAGAACTTGGTATTAGGAGTTAGTTTTTTTTATCTTCCCTGGCCTAATTACTCAAAGTCAGTGGCATGTGAACTGAAGTGGAGTAGGATGGCAAGAATAAGTGAGTAGCCATGGAATATGGCTTTTCTGCCTTAGGCATACTCTGCTTGATCTATGCCCTGCACTGTGCTGCTTTCTCTTCTGGAGTCAAATGTCTGCTTGTCTCTCCAAAGAATAATACTTGCCCCATAGTGCATAGTCCATCTGGCTACTGACTTTCATAGTGCTCTCAAAATACCACGGAGAAGAGTGGCTGCACTTTATCCATTCACTTACCCACCCATCCATCCATCCATCCATCCATCCACTGATTCATTCAATAAAGAGTAAGTGGTCGGGTGTGGTGGCTCATGCCTGTAATCTCAGCATTTTGGGAGACCGAGGCAGGCAGATGACTCGAGGTCAGGAGTTTGAGGCCAGCCTGGCTAACATGGCGAAACCCGATATCTACTAAAAACACAAAATTAGCCTGGTGTGGTGGTGCACGCCTGTAGTCCCAGCTACTTGGGAGGCTGAGGCAGGAGAATTGCTTGAATCCAGGAGGTGGAGGTTCCAGTGAGCCAAGATCATGCCACTCCACTTCAGCCGGGGCAACAGAGTGAGACTCTGTCTCAAAAAAAAAAAAAAAATACAACAACAGTAAGTGAGGGCTGTGTCTACTATTTATTGGGAAGTCTATCATCCCAGGTGGCTGCCTGGTTCTGTGCATGTGTGGTTCCAGACATAAAAAAGGGATGGGGTGAGCAGAGGAAGTGTTGTGCCAATATGATCTGGCTAAAGAAGAACAGGATGTTTTCCTCCAGGGAGTGACTTTCCTCTGACAAACAGAAGGGGAAAAGCTCTGGATGGACACACTCATTTCTTTCCCTGAATCCGGTCCAGAGGCTGCATTTGTTGGTTGAAAGTCTAAGCATGACCAAATAAACCAGTCCAAATGGGGTATTTGGAATAGAGGAAACGCAAGTTTGGGGAAGGGAAAAAACCTTCGCAGAGAAGACTGATCTTTTGGTCCAGAAAGAAGAGAAGAAGAGTCATAGCTATTACTTTGATAAGTCAAAATGTACCACAACACTTGAAAACCTGGGAAGGGTAGTCACTGGCCAGAGCTGCTGCTTTATCCATCACACCAGCTGAAGGCATCACTGGGCTTCTAGAAATGATTAGGACTGTTTCAGTGGACCTCGGCCTTGGAGCATCCAAGCTCCGGGATAATTTAGTACCACAGTGAGCACTAGGGAAAATAATCCAAATGAAACAACAACAACAAACTTTGTTGCATTTATATGAAATCCTTCTATTGCCCCCAAAGCAAAATGATTTCTCCCCCAGTCTGGCACATATCCTGCAGCTGTACCTTGGACCTTTGTGTAATCTATCTTGCAACACTTCATGTACCGTTGGTTTAGGGTCAGCCTAATGGTGGAGGCTCAAAAGGGAGTATGGTGTAGTAGAAAGAAGGGTAGACTGGGAATGAGGAAACCTGGGTTCGAGTGCTAATTTGACAACAAGGTAGTTTGCAGTCTTAAAACACACAACTTTTTGGGCTATCGCTTCCTTATGTGTAAAACGAGATTACGTGTTTTCCTTTTATCTTGGAAACTCTTGATTTGGAAGGCATCAAACATCCAACATGTATCATGGAGTGGAGAAAGCAGAAAAAAAATCGTGAAAAGTGGCACAGTGTAAATTTCCCAGACCTTTACAGGAGCACTCAGATCATCTTCCTTTGAAATAACAGTTCACTAATCCAACACTCAAGGTACCTATGTGTCCATGTCTTTACCAGTTCTATCCGGTTTTTACCTTGTGTTTTTATTGTTTTCTTTTCTTTTTTCTTTTCTTTTTTGAGATGGAGTTTTGCTCTTGTCACCTAGGCTGGAGTGCAATGGCACGGTCTCGGCTCACTACAACCTCCACCTCCCAGGCTCAAGCAATTCTCCTACCTCAGCCTCCTGAGTAGCTGGGATTACAGGCGCCCACCACCGCACACGGCTAAGATTTGTATTTTTAATAGAGACGGGGCTTCACCATGTTGGCCAGTCTGGTCTCGAACTCCTGACCTCAGGAGATCCACCTGCCTCGGCCTCCCAAAATGCTGGGATTACAGGCGTGAGCCACCGTGCCTGGCTGTGTTTTTATTGCTGACATGCATGTCTCTCCTTCCCCATGAACTATTAGCTCCTTGAAAAAGTGGTCCGTCTTTTGATCTCCTGCTATTTCTAGCTCTGGTTCCATAAATAATTGTTGAATGAATCAATGGTTTTGTTTAGAGTGCTTGATTAGCTCTTCCTCCAAATAATTATTATTTCCATTTCAAAGATAAAATTCAGGCCCAAATATTTCAATTTGTTTATCTCAGTTCACAAAATTAGATTTGAAGCCTCAATTCCAAAGTAGTAATAGTAATAAACTGTTCTTCCAGCAACCTTCACAGAAACATTCTGAAGACCTTTGCTTCTCAGCCCCAATTCACTAATATCAAAAGCCTGCAAAATAATAATAGTTACAGTAACAATAATAATTGAGTTTTTATGCCTGTATGAAAAGCATTATCTCACATAATTCGTAAGACAGCGCTATACAACTTCAGATGAGGATTACTGATACAAAGTGATAGTTCCACACAGATAGGAACAAAGCCAGGTTTATTTGACTTCAAAATTCATGCTCCAAACCAATGGTACACATCCCTCTGTTTGACTACCCACCCAACATAACCTACATGGAGTCTTATGCCTGTGTCTCCAGTTTGAAGCCTAAGATAATGTGAGGACATAGAGCCAAAGTTATTAAGGGAAAAAGCTTCTTAAGCCCTCAGTCTGAATGCTTATTTAGCCTCTGTGAAGAGGCTGTGTAAAGTTAGGAAATTTACTGCACCTCAGTGAGCTTCAGTTCTTTGTTGGTAAGATGTGGACAACAGCATTTACCTCAAAAAGATGTTACAAAAGCTTATTAAGATATTGTGTGTTAGGCCCGGCACGGTGGCTCACACCTGTAATCCCAGCACTTTGAGAGGCCGAGGCGGGCATCTCTCCTGAGGTCAGGAGTTCGAGACCAGCCTGGCCAACATGGCGAAACCCCGTCTCTGCTAAAAATACAAAAATTAGCCAGGCATGGTGGCACATGCCTGTAATCCCAGCTACTCTGGAGGCTGAGGCAGGAGAATCGCTTGAACCCGGGAGGCGGAGGTTGCAGCGAGCCAAGGCCGAGATTGCACCATTGCACTCCAGCCTGGGCGACAGAGTGAGAATCCATCTCAAAAAAAAAAAAAAAAAAAGGATATTGTGTGTTAAAATACCTGGAACATATAGTAAGTGCTCAATAAATCCTCTCTTGCCCCCCTGCCTACTTTTCCTTTCAGCAAAAGCAATACCTTCCAAAACTAGTTCCATAACCTTATGGATATGAAGGATACACTTGTAGGAATATCTTGGCATCCTTTAATACAGAGAAGTTCTCAGCTTAGGTACCAAATAAAACACTTTGCCTCCCTAGAAATTTTCAGAGCTTGCCCAGGCCCCTAAAAGCTATTTTCTGTCAACACTTCCACTAAGCTGAACAGGAAGAGAGGTTGCTTGTCTTATCATTAACAGAATTCTTTTCTGAGGTTTTTATTTGGGTACTTAGTGGGCCAGAATTTAACATTATCACTCCATCCCATGATACTTCAGCTGAGTAAAGTCAGAAGTATTCTTTCTTATATGTTTTTTCCTTAATTTATTTTTTTTTAAATGGGGCCATTGGTTCTGTAACAATAGTGACCTCTACAGGGACATTTATTCATTTATTCACCAAACACTAAGCATTGTGATTCTCTGTAACATATAAGATAAAAATAGTTATAATTCCTTAAAGAGCTCACATCGTAGCAGAAGAGAAAAGAGCATGAAAAGAGAATTCCAGCCTGTAATCCCAGCACTTTGGGAGGCCGAGGCAGGAGGATCACGAGGTCAAGAGATCAAGACCATCCTGGCCAACATGGTGAAACCGCGTCTCTAATAAAAATAAAAAATTAGCCGGGCATGGTGACAGAGCCTGTAATCCCAGGTACTTGGGAGGCTTAGGCAGGAGAATTGCTTGAACCCAGGAGGCAGAGTTTGCAGTGATCTGAGATCCCGCCACTGCACTCCAGCCTGGTGACAGAGCGAGACTGATCTCAAAAAAAATCCAGCACTTTGGGAGGCCGAGGCAGGCGGATCACGAGGTCAGGAGATCGAGACCATCCTGGCTAACATGGTGAAACCCCTTCTCTACTAAAAATACAAAATACTAGCCGGGTGTGGTGGCGGGCGCCTGTAGTCCCAGCTACTCGGGAGGCTGAGGCAGGAGAATGGCGTGAACCCGGGAGGTGGAGCTTGCAGTGAGCTGAGATCGCACCATTGCACTCCAGCCTGGGTGACAGAGCTGCGACAGAGCGAGACTCGTCTCAAAAAAAAATAAAATAGAGAGAATTCCAAGGCGGTGAATGCGGTGCGGTGCGGAGCTATCAATGGGAACTCATGCAGATAGGCTGTGACTCCAGGGCACCAGCCACACCTGATCATCAACTGCGGCCTTGAGCCATTCAATTCACTCATCCAACAAGTAATTACTGGTGCTTGAGACCATCCAGTTTCAAATACAAAGAGAAGTGGCATGAGGTATACACTCAGGGACTCTTCCCTCTTTATAGAAGCCATTTGACTCAAACTAGAGCAAATTCAAGTAAACGGAAGAGATACACATCTCCTCTTCTCTTTCTCTTGAGCCTAAAGAGCCTCAGTGTTGGGTTTTACCATCAAGGCCCAACTCCATATCTGAGGCATGGCTCCTCTCCCATCCATCTCCCATCCATCTCCCATCCATCTCCCATCCATCTCCCATCCATCTCCCCCTCCAGCACAAACTTCATTGGCTCACATGGCTACCCATCCCATTTAAGACAGCTGAAGGTGTTAGAAAGGTTGACATCAAATTTACTGCCCTACTGTGTGGGATTTTTTACCTGTTCTTCCCCATGGACTGCCTTAAAGTCTGATGAACCTTAATGATTCCTTCTCAGAATAATGTTTTTAAATTCAAAAAGTATATACTATTACAAGGCAAGCTATATATACATACATATACATACACACACACATATATGTTATTGTGTTATTATATATGTATTTTATATATGCTATTGTGTTATATATGTATTTTATATATATATATATGCTATTGTGTTAGTCCATTTGCACTGCTATCATGGAATATCCAAGGAGGCTGGGTAATTTATAAGGAAAAGAGGTTTATTTGACTCACAGCTCTGCAGATGTACAAGAAACATGGTGCTGGCATCTTCTGCTTGGCTTCTAATGAGGGCCTTAACAGGCTTCCACTCACGGCGAGGGGTTAAGGGGAGGCAGGGGTGTCACACAGTAAGAGAGGGAGCAGGAGAGAAGGAAGGGAGGTGCCGGGCTCTCTTTAAAGAACGAGCTTTCAAGTGAATGAATGCACTGAGGGAGAACCCACTCATTACCGTGGGGAGGGCACCAAGCCATTAATGCGGGATCTACCCCCAGGATGAAAACACCTCCCACCAGGCCCTACCTCCAGTATTGGGGGTCACATTTCAACATGTGATGTGGAGGGGACAAATATCCCAATTAGATCAGCTTTATATAACTATACGTATGTGTGTGTGTGTGTGTGTGTGTGTGTGTATAAAATGTATGATATACAATTGTCTGGTCCTGTTTATAAGGGACTAAATAATGAGATCTAAAAGCAGGTATGATCACTTCCATAATTTTCAAGTAGTTTTAAGTACTAGGTAAGTGTAAGTGATATTTTGAGACTCTGGTATCAACTGTAACATGAAAGTAATTCTGATTTCTATTGGTGACAAAGCTGTGATTCCACTGATGTTACTGTGGTTTGTTACATTCGTAACTAAAGAGAATGTGATATTTCAGTTACAGGTAAGTGGAAGTCAAGAAGCAATTTTTTTTTCTATCAAATGTCACAGATTCCCCTCAATTCTTATAGAACACCAAAGTAGGCTGGGCATGGTGGCTCCCGCCTATAATCCCAGCACTTTGTGAGGCCAAGGCAGGAGGCTCGCTTGAGCCCCCGAGTTCGGGACCAGCTTGGCAAACATGGTGAGACCCATCTCTTTGTAAAAAGTAAAAGTAGAGGTTCCTCTTCAAAGACTTTCCTCCCCATCTAATTAGGAATAAATAGTAACTTCTCTTAGAAGCAAAATTTATTCAGACCTGTGCTCCTAAATATTTGCCCTGGCATGCTTATACTGGTCCAAGCAAGCATTAGGTCATAGCCTGTTCCTCTTCCTTATTTAAAAGTGTTTTTACCTTTCTCAGCATTCCACAAGTTACTTCCTCCTTCCTTTGTTCTCCTCTACCTTTGCCTCTTTTAAAAAGTTCTAAGTTGCTAGCCAATCGGGACAAATACAGAATGTGAGGTCCCGTTCCAGCCAATGGAAACCAGACACAGCAGTAGGATGGATGCGTCAGGTTATAAATGACCCTGTTTCCTTTGTTCAGTGTACTCTCGTGGCAAAACTGCTGGCGAGTGTACCCTTTCTACGGAAGTAAAAATGGCCTTACTAAATATATTAAATTTATGTTCAAGTGCTATTTCTTTATGGCACCAAGGAACAAGCATTCCAAACATCTCCAAAAAAATTGAAAAATTAGCCAGGCATGGTGGCACATGCCTCTAGTCTCAGCTACTTCGGAGGCTGAGGTGGGGGGATCACTTGAACGTGAGAGGTTGAGGCTGCAGTGAGTCGAGATCATGCCACTGCACCACTGCACTCCAGCCTGGGCAGCAGAATGAGACCTTGTCTCAAAAAACAAACAAACAAACAAATAAAAAATCACCAAGGTAAAAAGTATCCTTATAGAGATTTTTTAAAAATCTAACCTCTGAAAACCACATAGAACAAATTAGTCCCCTTAAAAACTCTCCTGCATCTCCTAAATTAAATCTTCTAATCCAAAAATCACAGCGTTTCCAGAATTTTCAGTAATCTTATCATTTTCTTCTGCTTGAGCAAGAATTTGTTAATTTCCAAGGGGAAGCAATGAGCCCAGAAAGTCAGCGTGCATTCCAGGTTGTTATGAACAGGCCATCCCAGGGGAATGACAGATAAATTTACAGGAACACCTTGGCATTCTCTAATAATAAATAAATAAATTTTCTTCTACTTGGAAAAACAAAACCTATCAAAATTGTTGATTTAGTATTTTAATGTCTAAGTCGTAAATTTTTAAAAAATTAATTGATTTTTCATGACATTTTTATTTTCTCACTGAAATGATCATTTTAAACATTTAGGAGTCTGTAGCATAAGGGATAAATAACACAAGACAAAAAGAAAAAAAACAAAAAGTTCCCAGGACAAAAGACTGGGTTTGTCATTTGTTTAGCCTATGGTAGATGTGTGTGTTTAGAATTTTTTGAAGACTGTGTCTTTCAGCAGATAAGCAGCAGTCTCTGATCCTAGCTCTAAATTAGCTGCAGCTGGATCTCAATAGATTCAGATCAGAAATAGTTCCTTAAGCATCAGTTTTGTGCTGAGAAATAAAAAGAAGAACAAGAAATAGCCTCTGCCCTCAGGGGAGCTTGAAAGTTAGTGAAAGATGTAAACATGTTACAAAAATAATTATACAAGGAAGACTAAAACCATATTAAACTCCAGTGGAAAAAATATCTGAAATGATGTAAAGAAAAAATTTGAGCTATTACAATGAAAAGACTTGTGTTGTCAAATGGCTTTGTTAGTAAGGCCAAAACAATGCCATAGATTTTCGGAGGATCCTGGTTATAATACCCAACAAACACCACTGTAATCATTAGGTTATTCCTGGTCTTTCCTACTAGTATTGAGCTCTTTAAGGTACCTTAACTGTCTTCTTCACTATTATGCCCTATAATCTTGAACACTGCTTTATGCACATAGTATCTTTTCAGTACTTGTAAGTGAATGAAGGCACAACATACTAGAGGAAGTGTGGAAGAGTTAAGATTGAAACAGTTCTTTTTTTTTTTTTTTTTTGAGGTGGAGTTTCGCTCCTGTTGCCCAGGCTGGAGTGCAGTGGCGCGATCTCAGCTCACTGCAACCTCCACCTCCCAGGTTCAAGCCATTCTCCTGCCACAGCCTCCCAAGTAGCTGGGATTACAGGCGTGCACCACCATGCCCGGCTAATTTTGTATTTTTAGTAGAGACGGGATTTCACCATGTTGGCCAGGCTGGTCTCAAACTCCTGACCTCAAGTGATCCACCCACCTCGGCCTCCCAAAATGCTGGGATTACAGGCGTGAGCCACTGAGCCCTGCCAGATTGAAATGATTCTACAGCATGCTTGACTGTGTCACTTTTTGAAAGCTCTAAGTCTTAGTAATGTCATCTGTAAATGAGGATAATAACACTACTAGCTAAGATTTTTGTAAGGATTAGATGATACCTATAAAATGTTTAGCAAATAATCATTCTTTAACTAACAACTGTCAGCCATTTCTCAGAGGGAAGCACGTAGAATTGATGTTTACAGCTGGAATGAAGCCCAGTGAGCCACTTCCGCCTTCTCATTGTAAAGAGTAAACTCAAGAGAGAGTGTAGACTTTCCCCAAGGATGTGAAAAATGGAAACAGGTGCAAACCCAGGTCTCCTGAGTTTCTTAGGTTAAATTTTTTTTTTCATAATTACTAGATAACTCTCTTCTAGGTCAAAAAAAGTCTTAATACTATTAGACCCTCTGACAGAAAGTGATGCTTTTTGCCTGTTTCCTTCAAAGTTTACATTCTCTGAGTTCATAGAAATGACATTGTAAGTGTATTTTCCATACCATTGGTCAAGTTGAAGTCTTAAATACGTATGTTTGAAGACACATATTTCTGCATTGCTCCAAGTTTTCATAAGGAACCATGAAAGGTGGTCTCTGCAGGCCAGGGGATGGTGCCTCCAGACACTGAGCACGCTCTTAGCAGAGAAGTTAAAGTTTACACAGATCTATGTTGCTCTCAAGTAGTGGGCCTGAGGGTGAATATTTTTCATCTGTTTTTCGTCTATTAGATGGATGATAAACATCTGATCAAATCCACTCCTGTGGATCTGAAACTAAATCAATCAATATTCCATCATGATTGAAATCATATATGTAAATTCAATCATTTAATGATGGGCTAGTGCTATAGAAGATGTTTGCTGTTATTGTTTTTGCATATGTGAATAACTGGCAGGAATTAAATGCAAGAATGTGTGAAATAAACACAAGAATGTATGTGAAATACAGGAATTAAACACAAGAATGTATGTGAAAATATAATGTAAAGGACTATACTAGTAAAAGCAACCATACTGTTGATGATTAATTGTTATTATCTTATAATTATACAAAGAGACTCAATAGATATCTGTTGAATGCATGCCTGTAGGACTGACTGACTGAAGGAATATGTTCTCAGCTATCAGATGTTACGGTTACAAGAAATTCTCAGTAAAACTTGCAGAAGATAAACTCCTGAGACTGTGGTGAAGACTGAATTAAATAATCTGTGAGATGTGTCTACTCTAATCTGGCACATGGTATGCATTCAACAAATGTTAGAACAATCTTAATTTTTAAACATTATCAATAAGAGAAAAGTAAAGATCGTTTGAAATGCTGATGAGATTTAAATTCCTAGCAAAGGCAGAGAAATCTCATTACAGAGCTGCTGGATTTTTATTAACTCTAAGTACAATGTCACACATCCATCAACTTTCCCAAAACGTAGCTACCATAATTAGAAAATACAATGCATTATCCAGGGTTCGTGTTATAATTGCATAAAAGCAGAGAGAAGCAGCTAGTTTTCCATAGATGATAAGATTAGCTTCCTCTCAGCCTTTACAGTCACACCTATAGAGCCAGGTTGAATAATATTTTTAATGCAGACAATGTTTGTTCTAGACGAAGTCAACTTAGCATTTCATAGGAGCTGGTCAAGTGTTCCCCTGCTTGAATAGGCTCAAAGGGTAAAGCTAATTAAAAGAAAGGGAAATTGAGTTCACTGTGAAATATGCTGCTGCTTTTCTGATTTTGCCAGGTAGCACCAATTCTGGAGGCCAAAATAGAAACAAACCCTTCTGGATGGTGTGCCTTTACTAAGACTCTAGAGTTGGCTCTCCAAAGGGAAGAGGGCACTTCAAGTTGGAGGGAGATTTTTTAGCCATTTGGCGACCGGAGTCTTCCTCATGGTCAGGGGGAGGTATCAAATCACTTTTTCAGAGTTTGCATGCTGCCCTCTCCTGGCCTGTATAGACAGGAGTGTTACAGTACATCAAATGCATTTATTTTCCCCCCACACCTGTGTGGGATATACCTAAGAACACAAGAGAGTTTATTTAAAATATTCAGGATGTCTCATCAAAAATGTATACTTGAAGCTAATCAAAAATCTATATCTGAAGGTAATTAGAGGAAATACATTCATTTTCATTTTCCTTTGGCTCCAGGATTTATACTGAAGCATGTCAATCTTTATATCATGTCACTTTATACCCTTGTGCTTCCACCCGCTCACGTTCCATCCCCTTAACATCCATGTGGCTCTGGGACTCTGTTCTACAAATCAGTGCGCCAACACCGTCTGGGTCCCATCAATGTGCTGGCCACTTAAAGACATCTTTCCAACTGGAAGTGGTGGTGATGGGAAATCTGCTCAAGTCATTGGTCAGTGTTGAGTCTGAGGACCACATTTTAGCCTGACATGTGATCAAAATTAATTCTAGACATTATTAGGCCTATTATACCTAATATTATTAGAAACAAAAGAACTATCAAGAAGCAGCTAATCCAAGAAGAAGATGGCACCATAGGTCTAATTTTTAATTGAACACCTTGTCCTTCAAAACAATGTCTTGTGTGACCCATTTAAGCCGAGTGCTGGGCACGTTTTCCCTGGTTGAAATAATTCTTTTTTGTCCGTAGATATTTGAAGGACCCTGATACTGAGAACATGCCTGCAACCTGGCACGTTGCACAGGGGCAATTGCTGTAGCAACACTGAAGTACAAAAGTGGCTGAACTAATCTGTTGAGTGCCTGTGCCTCTGCAGTCTCTCAGTGTCTGCCCTTGACCCAGACAGGCCAATCCTCTCCATATCAATAAGAACTGAGAGTCTAATACCATTCCTTTGCATTAGAAAAAGAGATGTTTACTTTAAAGAGATTTAAAGGCATGTACCTTGTTTAAACTTTACCAAACTTATAACTCGAGGGTATGTAAAGCTCTGGCTGGCTCTACTAAGATTCATAGAGAATGAACTGTTGATTACCTCTCTCGGTGAAGAATGATAGCAAAAAACAATGAATAATCACAGCATTGTTTATATTTATCTTTGAAAAGCCATCAGTGTCTCCTAGTCTATACAAAGTGAATATAATCCGTCTCACACTCACAAAGTTGCTACCAACACACCCAACATTGCTTTAGAGTTAGAAAGATAAGACAGAAATAGGTCCCAACTTATTGCAGCTATTTTATTTATAAAAGATTGACAAATGCTCACAATCATACAAAACAACTCTTTACCAATAGAATGTAGTTGGGTCGATTAACTTATATTTATTTGCACAGATCAGTTCTTTACAGTTTCTTTCTGATGTAAAAGGAAAAAAAATTTATCTATAAAGTTAAAATGCCTTCTCCCAAATATAATATTCACTTGCCATGTCTATACTTTGACACGATTTCAAAAAGCACCCAGTTAAATCATTCAGATCAGTCGATGGGCAAAAACTATGAAGTTTTCCTGACTCTATGGTAGAGCTAAGCATGCATTTCCTTTAATGACAGAAAGAACATGTTCATCTGATAAGAAACAAAAAACAAACAAACAAAAAAAGGTCGATATAAATTCTCCACTGTGATATACAACACAAATACCTTTCTTATAACTTTCTTATCTTCCTTGGTCGGGCACATGTCTTGGGACAAAGGCTACCTTGAAAGCTAAGCACGGCTGAATGGTGAGTCGATTGCGAATTATCAGTGAATGGTTTGGATATGATCGACTAAGACTCCACTGGGAAGAGTGCTGTTTAGACGAAAGGTAAGGTATTTGATTGCCCCTGCACCTGCTGCAGAGCCATTCTCTGGCTGTACTGGAGTCCCAATCTGTTCCACTGCAGAAAAAGCGCTTTTCATAGGGATTCAGAGCCACATGAATACCAGCCAGCCCTTGAAGACTGCAAAGCAAGACCAATTTTTTAACTGACTTCTTGCAGTCCCCTCTGGCTTTTCCCAGGAAAGACTGAACTCATTAAGCAATGCTAATTTAATCACAAGTCATCAAGGGGTGGGGAGTTATATAACTATCTTTAAAATTTCAAATCAAACATGATAAAATCTCAGGAAATAGATTTTTTTAACAAAACCCACACCTCAAAATAAAAAAAAAAAAGAAATAGAAGTTTATGAGTTTTAGGATCAAATAAAATAAAATCAAACATCAATATTTTCTTACAACTATCACATCTACTAGATAGTTCCAATTCATGACTTTTTAATGTAGTAATATGTGAGATCCTGGAACTGAACGTGCCTGGCGTGCAGAATACAAATGCATTTTTAAACTCGTAAGACAATGTAGAAATAAGTCAGGTACACAGGAAGGATCACTGACAATCACGTTAAAAAATAACTACCTCCCTTCTCTCTTCTCCTTCAACCACAGCGTAGTGATAATAGTGATATTTCCCTCATGAGGCGGGTGCACCTTGGCCATATGCTTTAAAAAATCAAAACTCTGCCGAAGTCCGCTGTGGTTCCTATTCCTGTAGGGAGGATATTAACCTGGTAGGTAGGTGGGAGAGGTTCGTAGCCCGCTTTCTAACAATTGGATGGTGTTTGCCTCGCTATAGTCATGATTAGAATGGCGGTCACCAAGAGGTATTTATTGGTGGGATGACAACATATTGGTATTGACGTTATTTAAAAGAGAAAGAAAGAGCGATCACGGTCAAGTTTGAAGGTCCTTATGTTACACCCACGCATAATTCAATAGGTGAATAAACCTTGTGGCCCCCAGACACACGCCAACAGCTTGAATTACCCGGGGTGAAACCGGCGAGACGTCCACTCAGGGCTTTCGGTCCTGACCAGCCACGGAACAAACAACGTCAATTCATTCTAAGTGCCTGGTGAAGGTAGAAATCAGAAACCGTGTCTGTGTCACGTTAGTCGTGACAAGCTGCGTACCTGCAATGACGTGATGGAAGCCTCCTCCTCGGGTCCCTTCTCTCTCTCTCTCTCCCTCTCCCTCTGCCTTCTCTGAGTTCTCTAGTCCACAGCGGGGTCTAAGTTTGGTCTCCCGCCGCCGCTTTCAGTTCGACCGCAGCCAGACTGCAGCAGACGCCCATAAGAGAAGCGCGCCGGCTGAGGGTGCAGGAGAGGCGAGAGCGCGCCCCGCGCCGCGCGGTCCCAGGCTGGCTGCTCCTGCAGATGTGAAAGGAGCCCGGAGACTTAGCTCTGAATCCTCTCGGCGCTGCATGGGGATATTATCAGAGTCTGGGATTTCTATTGGCTCTGAACACCAAACAAATCACACCAGCCACCCCCCTTCTCTGTTTCACTCAGCGCTTGTTTCTCATCTAACCCACAAACATTGCAGCCACACCACACACTTCAGTCGCTTGCAATGTTTCTCTTTTCCTCCTTCCAGTCAGTGGATTTACAACCCTGTGGTCAGCTCTAACATTTTTTTTAGCAGACTTCCAATTCTAACCTTCTTGTTTATGTAGAGAAATTCTCCCTCCATCCCCTAAACCAGAAAAAAACAAAAAACAAAAAAAAAACACTCATTCCCTTCAGATCTTCTTCCTTTTGCTGATGGGTTTCCAATGTGAAGAATGTAGAAAGCCTGTGTGTGATATGTCTGACATTCTCATACACGTGCGCTTACACACACACACACACACACACACACACACACACCAGGCTCCTTTTGTTTGCAGTAACTGAGGCCAGTGAAATAAAAAGCAAGCTGAGCCTAATAACCTAAGTGAGAGCTTAACTAATAAAATCTTGAATGAATTCAGTGCAAAACACCCATTGCTTGAATTTGTTTTCTGTTCCAAATAGTACTTTGGTCATTATTATCCTGATTTTTGTTTATTGAATGCAGAGGTTTCTAATGCAAATCAGACTCTTCAACATCCAGAGAACATAAAACAATGACGCCAGACCAATTCTTGTGCTCCATCGGCTTGGTGCGTTATACCAGAAGCGTATTGTGACGCCTAAGTGCTTGCTCTTTTCATTATTTTTTGAACTTCTCACCACTGATCATCTCAGGACTGAGACTCCCTTAGTGTGATTCACCAGCCAAAGACGACTATTCAGACTCTGCTGATAGAGGTTCCTGGATGAAAATTTTTTATCTGTATGTGTCAATAGAGATAAACCTTTGGCCCCTTGGCAGGGAAAGGGCCCAAGAAAAATCTGAGATCTTACAAACTTGGCTGGGGAAATTCAGAATAAAATAAAGTTTCAGTGTGTCTTATAAAACAGACCCTCCCTTAGACTTTTCCCCAAAATCAATTTCACTGGTGCTTATGGAAATTTTAATGACAGTTATTCTTGACAAGAAGCCATTGCTTCTGAAATCTCTGAGCTCTGTTTTGATTTTTGACTTGAATTTTTTTTTTGCAGTGTTATCCCTTTTGTATGCTATTTGGTATTTGATATTCTAGTTCCAACTCAACTCACAGCACATTGGGTTGCAAATTCACAGGAAATAACAATTAGTTCTTGAAATATACTATCACCAAACAGACTACCTGCCTTCTTTCTTACGTGGGCACATTACAGGAATTGTGAAATGCAGCCTTATTCTCAGAATGGGCCTGCCTGAAATCAGCTGAAATTGACAAAGGAAATACAAAACAAAACCACGTTTAGCAGTTGGTTCCTGCTAACCACAGTCTAACCTCAAATGGCATATCCTTATTGCTTCAACAACTCCAGTTCATTCCCTTTCTTTAGGTAGGCAGCTAAAAACAAAATACTGTCATAAATCTTTGAAAGTGTAGAATGTATTTCTTCTAAAGATCTCAACAGTCTTCGAAAAAAAAAGGAGTTATAGGTATGATATTCCAGATTTTCCAGGTGGAGAAACAGAGTGGAGGAATGATAAAGTGACTTGCTGAAGGCAGACAGCAAATAGAGCTGGGAGAGTGGATGACTGCCCTGTTTGTTCATACAAACTGTTTGACTCAAAGGAAAGCAAAGGGTTAACACAGCTGACTCTCATTCCTGCCTGCCTTTGCACAGAAGAGCTAACAATTCATGAAATCATCTGTCCAACTTGGTAAATAGTCATTTATGTTATTTCAGAACGGGTCATGTTATTTTCAGATAAGTTACCAATAATTTGCCTTCGAATTGCCTTTCTAGAAAAGAGAGAAACAGTTACTGAGAAAACCAAGTAGATCATTGTATTTTGTGCTTGTTATTTTCAGGGCTCATTATAGCTCTTCATAGCACTGAAAAGACAGTGTAAGTGAAATCATGGGTGACTTAAAGTCACAGATCTATCTTAAACTTCATTTTAGATAATAATTCAAGCCCTCTGTCCTTCAGTTAATGAAGAGCAAAACTGGATGATTTAAAGGACATCTATACCCCATCAGTTGTGTGGTTAAGGGAAAATAAATCGTCAGTGTTTATTATTCTATATTTAGTCTTTTCGTCATTTTGCTACCTTTAAAAGAGTTTTTCAAAGACATTTCTTAAATCCTTTATAAATGACACAGACATCCGTAATAATAAAAACGCTTGCATCTCAGCATGCACAGCAGCGGACAGCCGGGCAGATTCATGACAGAACAATCATTTTATTTTCCACTTATTCAGCCACATCAGGATCATCCTGCTTAGTTCAGTGTGGCACTTTTTACAGGAGATATTCACAAATTGGCATGTATCCAAAGGAGTTGATAAGATGATGATTCTGAATATTATAATTTATAAGAGATGCAAGAGAGAATCAGGCATCTTGGAGTAGGAACTGAGGTGAAAATGATAACATTTTCAAACAGTAAAGGTAAAAGAGGAAATATGTTTATTATTCAGATAATGCTTCAAATGTATTGTCATTTTTATAAACATTTTCTTTCTTGATTTTTTTAAACAACTCTATGAGGAATGTAAGATAAATGCTACTAGGCTAATTTTAGAGATTAAAAGAGTTTGTATAGTAAAGTCACCCTGATGTAGTCACAGTTACGATGCCAGAGGATGGGAATAAGTTGAAGTGGACCCGAAACCCAGTGCTGTTCTGGAGAGAAAATAAGGGTAGGCAAAAATCAGGATAGCAAAAGACTTCTCAAAATTAAAGCTTTCGGAAATTGAAAGAATTTCCTGGCAAAGTGATGATTTGGAGATTTTGATATAGGTCAATGAAGTGGTCAAGAAAAGTACTCACAGTCATTTGCAGAGATTATGAAGGGATTGTTATAAAGGTCAGACTAAGTAACCTAGGGTTTACTTCAGCTCGAAATCATCTTTGATGCTATTATTGGCTTTTACTATATTACAGAATAATTTACAATTTTATTGAATAATTTTCATAGTATGCCATTAAATTTTTTAAAAGATTATGATTACGATCTAAGTATATTTCTGAACTATAGATGACCGCAGATGGTCTTTTACCCTTCTTTTGACATATCTGTGTGTTCTATGATGAATATGTATAATTTGTAATAAGAAAAAAAGTAAAAAAAAAAAAAAAAAGAAAAAGTAGAAGAGCTTATAATTCTTCCTCTACTATACAAAGATACAAGATTTCCATATGACTAGTTTGCCGAAGACTGACATTGCATTCCCAGTGTGATAAGCGTAAGATCACATTCTTGATCTTGTCTGTACCTATTCATGTGTTTTCTTTCTAGCCTAGGTTGGACGCCATTCTAATGCTAATGTTTTCCCCTTGGTTATCTCTTTATTTATCTTAATAGCTTCCCTTTAACTTATGGATTTATTGATAAATCCGTACGTGCTTGTTTTGTCCTTTTATAGCTATAATTATTTCTTAGATTATCATAGTTTACTTTTTAAATTGTTAAAGTGTTTTTGATGCACAAAGTTTGTAAATTCTTCAATTTACTGATTATTCAATATTTATTCCTCCACCATATAAGAAACCTTTATTTTCTAGAAAGTCATTAACTTTGTTTATTAATACTGTATGTTTACATCAAAACCTCAAAATGAAATCTATATTTATGATTCACTGATACATATGAATCTATGCTCTTGCGGTTCACAAATTTCAACTGTTCACATGTATTAAATAACATTTATCTCTCTTGTGTCATGGTGATTCTACCCAGAATATATGAGTGATTTATAAGAGTTTTATAGCAAAATATATAGCTCTCACTGTGTCGCAGAATAAACTCCTTGTCTATGAGAGTGCCATCTGTCATGTTTGTGTCACCCCAGTGGAGCAGAGAACACAACCCACAGATGAGCTGGGGAAATTAATAGGAAAGGGAATGACCATGTATTCAGCTCAATCCCTATATTTTCCCTTAAGACCCAGGGAGCAGGTGGTTGTGGGTTTTTTGATTCATTAGCCCATGCTTATTAGATGTCAGCAAGGCCTCTGCGCCGTACTCTTACTTCTGAGATGTGGATGGGTAGAGGTGAAGAGGGCAAAATGAGAGTGAAGAGAAGGCAGAGCCACCTTTGACCTGCATGTGCTTATGACATCATATAAGCGGTGAACGCAGGAGATGGTTAAACTAAGATTCAGATTGACAAATGTAGCTGAAGGAGTGGCCAGAATGGCTCCATCATGGCACCTGCCACTTCCTTAACTCTTTCCCAGACCCGATAGCCCAGGTGAAGAAGGAGACCTAGATAGTAGTATAGATAGCTGTAGAAGTATCACATTCATCTGCCCCTACAGCTACAGACACCAGACTAGGAGAGCATGCTGGACTCAAAGGGAGCCAATCTGCCACCCATGCAGAGATAATGGGAGGTGGCTGTCCATCAGATTTCTCCTTTTGATGAGCTTGAACTAGGGTTATCTCTCTATCATCCATCTATCTATCTATCTATCTATCTATCTATCTATCTATCTATCTCTCTCTCTATCTGTAGCTAACTTTGTCATTTGATAGCAATAACATAAGCTTAAAGAGTCAGAAAACCAAGCCAGATGTGGTGACTCATGTCTGTAATCCCAGCACTTTGGGAGGCCAAGGCGGATGGATCACAAGGTCAAGAGTTCAAGACCAGCCTGGCCAAGATGGTGAAACCCCTTCTCTACTAAAAAGACAAAAATTAGCCAGTGGTGGCACGCACCTGTAATCCCAGCTACTTGGGAGGCTGAGGCAAGAGAATTGCTTGAACTCAGGAGGTGGAGGTTGCAGTGAGCCGAGATTGCACCACTGCACTCCAGAGTGAGACTCCGTCTCAAAAAAAAAAAAAAAAAAGTCAGAAAATCAGAGAAGAGAGAGTATACTAGTTATGGTCATGGTTAGAATAGGTGTCTATGAAGATCTAATAGACCTCTAATGTATGTCTTGCGTATGAGCAAGAAAAGATGAGGTCCAGTTGTTTAATCTTTCTGAGCTTCCACTGGCCCTGCCTGTATTTCCTTTGTTTCTGTGTGTATCCATACACCAAATCTCTAGTGTTTGAGGTCATCTGTGTGACGTTCTCCTCCTTGAAGAGTACATAAGGAAAAAAGCCCAATAGAAAATCAAAGCAGGTACCATAATTTAAGAAGTTTGAAACTTAGCCTCAGGCTAAGTTTCAGATGATGAACACTATTGCACCGTAGTTTGGTGCCTGGACTTCGATGTCAACATTGGGTTGAATCCTGAGTCACTTACTGCTTGGATATCCTTGCTTTTTTTGTTTTGTTTTGTTTTGTTTTTGGAGAGGGAGTCTCGTTCTGTCGCCCAGGCTGGAGTGCAGTGGCGCGATCTCGGCTCACTAAAACCTCCGCTTCCCGGGTTCAAGTGGTTCTCCTGCCTCAGCCTCCCGAGTAACTGGGACTACAGGCACACACCGCCATGCCTGGCTAATTTTTTGTATTTTAGTAGAGACAGGGTTTCACTGTGTTGCCCAGGCTGGTCTCGAACTCATGAGCTCAGGCAATCTGCCCACCTTGGCCTCCCAAAGTGTTAGGATTACAGGCACGAGCCACCATGCCTGGCCTCCTTGCTTTTTTTCTGGGGTTTCAGTTTTTGCATATATAAAATAAAGTTTACGTGACAATGATGTAAGTTCTAGGAGGATTAAATTAGATTTTTGTTTAGAAGGATTACACAGTGTCTGGCCTGGAGAAAATACTTTATAAAATTCAGGATCCAAGCTCAATAGAGCAGGCATTTCACATGCCAGGAATAGCAAAGGCTACTGAAGCTCAGTAACCAGCGTTTGAATGTGGAGGGGAGAATCTATGTGTTCAATATGGTTTGGGGGAGTGTCCTCTCTGGGATCGTTTTGGGCTCCCATAGAGAAGTATACTGATTTGGCTTTTAGAAATAAGCCCAAATCATTCAGAGCTATTCCTCACCAGGGAGACTAAACTGGCTATTTCCATTTTAGAGTACCATTAAAGCAATGTGATATATGAAAAGTCTCTAAGCTCTCTAAGGGCAGAAACTGTATCTTATTTGAGTTTTTCTAACCAGTGCTTACCACTATTCTTGGTACAGAGCTGGCACTCAGTAAAAGTTAGTTGAATAACAATTTATAAACTAATTTGTTAAAAAATTAACTACTGGGTGTGGTGGCTCATGCCTGTAATCCCAACACTTTGGGAAGTCAAGGTGGGTGGATCACATGAGGTCAGGAGTTCGAGACCAGCCTGGCCAACATGGTAAAACCCTGTCTCTACCAAAAATACAAAAATTAGCCAAGTGTGGTGGCGGGCGCCTCTGATCCCAACAATTTGAGAGGCTGAGGCAGGAGAATCACTTGAACCCAGGAGGTGGAGTTTGCAGTGAGCTGAGATCACATCACTGCACTCCAGCCTGGGCGACAGAGTGAGACTCCGTCTCAAAAAAACAAAAAAAAATTAACTGATTGATGAATTTATTAAAGGAGAGATGACTTCCTTATGTGGATTGTAAACTGGCACAGAACATAATTCTGAAGAAGGAATCCCAGTCTGTTTCATCCAATAGAAATATTGTTTGAATTAAATGTTTGATGGTGGTTGATTGTATTATTGTCCAAAATATTCACTTCCCTGCCCACAGGACCCATTCCTGAGAAAGGATAATATAGGCCTACTCCCCTGACTGAGGCTTGGCACTTTGGCTTATTGTAGCCATTAGCATATGTCCAAAAGTTCTGTGTGTGCTTCCAAAACAAAGCTTTAAAAGCCATTGTGTGGTCTACCACTTCTCTTTTTTCTCTTCCAGAAAACCGATGAGGTCCGTGGTTCCCTGAATAAGAATGGCATGAAGTAGAGCCACAGGTGATGTGAGGCAGACTCATCATATGGGTGAGAGATAAAATCTAGCTGTCATAAGCCACAGGGATTTGGGGTCATTTCTTGACTGTAACGTAATGCAACCTAAACTGACAGATGCTATGCGTTTCTACAGTCACTTTTTTGGAGACCAGAACTCTTATTCATAGATAAGATCCAGCATGCTTGTTAACAGATACATGTACATTTATCTTAGTTATACTGGATATTGTATAATTGTGTATACTATGTCATGAAATTCCCATCCAAAAAACTAACAAAAAATGTTTCAGTGTTGGCTCCTGGCTTCCTTTCATTCCCAGTTTGTCTTCACCCCAGTGCCTATTCTCTGAATATAAAGTTCTTCAGAACCCAGGAATCACGTGGTGACTATGACCAAAGCTCATTTCCCAACAAGTGGCCACAGAGGACAAGGTGTGGAGGACACTGGAAGGAGCCCATGACTGACGGGCGTGTTGCCTGATGCTACAGGAGATCCATTGATCGCATCTCAAAGCAGTTTCTAGAGAAGCAGGAAGAATTTAAAATGCTCTGGAGAAATTATTTTCACCATTTGTGCTTTTAAAGAATAGGACGTATTAATTTTTCATAAATTCTTGTTAACCATGGCAATACACAATGCCATTATTTCTTAAACTCTGGTTCAGGTTATTTACAAAATAGGTCAGGTCACCCCTTTCCAGCCCAGAGCCAGAATTAAAATAAAACAATCCTCACTCCAGCTTCTGTTCTCCCCCGCACACATTCCTGCCGTCTGGAAGGACCCGAAGCAAACGTTCCTGATATATTTGGAAGGGAACAAAAGTTAGTACGGAACAGCATTTGACCTCTGTCTTGTATTAATGTGAATCTTAGGCTGCCCTGCACGCACTTCCGAAAGCGACATATCTCCCTGCAGGATCAGTGACAGGGAGACAGCTGGCCGGCCTCAGAACGAGCTCCGCCCCATAAGGACTGCACGGCTGTCCTGTTAGAAAAGCAACGGTGAGGGGCTCCTCCCCAGCTGGTGCCTTTGTGGGGACTTTCTCATCAAGAGTCATTACACCGCCAGCGTGGTGGAGTGACATATCCATGGGGATTTGGTAACAACGAGATTCTGTACTGTAGGCTCATGAATTCAGGAATTCATGAATATTGAAGAAATGCACACGGCTCACCACAAGAAAATATCGATTAAACTTCTTTACCCAAGTGTCAGCATACTAGGAGTTAATAAAGTGAACTAAATTGATAGGTAACATTGATCTCTGACACAGGCAGTAGAATTAAACCCTGGGTGGGTAAATAAATCAAAGCTAGTAGAAGCACCTGATGACCTCGTGAATAGCTCTGAAGTCAGTCTATTCTTTGGTTTCATATTATCATATTAAATTAAAGAAGACTCTTTAATTTAATTTTTATTTTATTTTATTTTATTTTATTTGAGATGGAGTTTCGCTCTTGTTGCCCAGGCTGGAGTGCAATGGCACGATCTCCACTCACTGCAACCTCTGCCTCCTGGGTTCAAGCGATTCTCCAGCCTCGGCCTCCCTAGTAGCTGGGAATTACAGGCATGCACCACCACGCCCGGCTAATTTTTGTATTTTTAGTAGAGGCAGGGTTTCACCATGTTGGCCAGACTGCTCTAGAATTCCTGACCTCAGGTGATCCGCCCGCCTCGGCCTCCCAAAGTTCTGGGATTACAGGTGTGAGCCACTGCGCCTGGCCTTTTATTTTATTTATTTATTTATTTATTTATTTATTTATTTATTTATTTATTTATTTTGAGACGGAGTTTCACTCTTGTTGCCCAGGCTGGAGTGCAGTGGCATGATCTCTGCTCACTGCAACCTCCGCCTCCCAGGTTCAAGTGATTCTTCTGCCTCAGCCTCCCAGGTAGCTGGAATCACAGGCATGTGCAACCACGCCTGGCTAATTTTTGTATTTTCAGTAGAGACAGGGTTTCACCATGTTGAGCAGGCTGGTCTCGAACTCCCAACCTCAGGTGATCCACCCGACTTGGCCTACCAAAGTGCTGGGATTACAGGCGTGAGCCACCACACCCAGCCTCGGCCTTTTAATATTTATTTATTTATCTTTGTATATGTATATGTATGTATTTATTAGAAATCACTTTTAAAGGATGCAAAACAGAGTCAAGCTTGGTGTGAGGCCCTAAAGTCTTCATACAAATCACATTGTATAAGCCCGAGCACCTTGATCCTTTGCAATTCTCAATGGTTGCACCACTCCTCACCTTATTCAACCAGAAGAAAACATTCCAGAGATTTTTAAGTTCCACCTCATTCCCATGCAGACTTTCCTATCTGTTTCAGGCCTTAGTGGTTTCTCTTCATTATATCCTATCTTTTGGCATGACTTCATTTAAAAATACTTGGTATTACATAAACCTAATATTAGCATCCAACTCTGCCTGCCTTATTAGCCCAACATACCACTACCTCTGGAAGGCGGTGACCTCATGTGCCAGGTGGAGTCCTTAAGACACAAATTAATGAGTTATTTCCTAAATATTATGTCCACCAGCTGCCATCAGTTGTCGAATACCAGCAACACTAAGACAGTTCCAGAGACAGGTTTCATGCTCTAGCTTCCTTTGGCCTATTTTACTTTCATTAGTATATGAATTTCCTGGCATTGCCATGACAAAATACAATCACACACAGGGTGTCTTAAAACAACAGAAATTTCTTCTCACAGAGTTCCAGAGGCTAGAAGTCCGTAATCAAGGGGTTGGTGGGGGCAGTGCTCCCTCTGAAATCTTAGGGGAAACGTCCCTTGCCTCCTCCTGGTTTTGGGTGGTGGCTGCCAATCCTTGGCATCCTTGTCCTGCAGCTGCAGCATTTCCATCTCTGTCTCTGTGGTCACATGGTGTTCTCCTCTCTGTGTGTTTCTGTCTCCTCCTCTTCTAACAAGGACGCCAATCTTATCAGATTAGGGTTCAGTCTACTGGCCTCATTTTAACTTGATTACATCTGCAAAGACCTTATTTCTAAATAAGTTCACATGCACAGAAACCAGGGGTTAGAACCTCAGCATGTCCTGAGGAACATAATTTGACCTGTAACAAGGGGTAACTGATATTCTGTCTGTCACCATATCTCCCTGGCTTTTCCCAAGGCCTTTTCCAATCCAGTGGAGCTCCCTTCACTCACTCACTTCTCTTCTCTTCTTCTTTTTTTTTTTTTTTTTTTTTTTTTTTGAGACAAGGTCTTATGTCCATTGCCCAGGTTGGAGTGCAGTGGCAGGATCACGGCTCACTGCAGCCTCAACTTCCTGGGGTCAGGTGATTCTCCCACTTCAGCCCCCAGAGTAGCTGAGTCTATAGGGATGCACCACCAAGCCTGGCTAATTTTTTGTATTTTTAGTAGAGATGGGTTTTGCCATGTTGCCCAAACTGGTCTTGAACTCCTGGGCTCAAGTGATCCTCCCACCTCAGCCTCCCAAAGTGCTGGGATTACAGGCGTGAGCCACCATGCCCCACCCACTCACTCATATCTGATCCCATACCTTCATCTTTGAGTCATACAGAAACCTCAGATCCACTAGTTGTTTAGTTGTTTCTTTAACTTGCTTGCCTCTGCTCTGATAGGGATGCTTCTTTTTTTTTTTTTTTTTTTTTTTTTGAGATGAGGTCTTACTCTGTTGCCCAGGCTGGAGTACAGTGGCTTGGCTCACTGCAACCTCCACCTCCCGGATTCTCCTGACTCAGTCTACTGAGTAGCTGGGATTATAGGTGTGCGCCACCACACCAGGCTAATTTTTGTATTTTTAGTAGAGACGGGGTTTCACTATGTTGGTCAGGCTGGTCTCGAACTCCTGACCTCATGATCCACCCGCCTCTGCCCCCTAAAGTGCTGGGATCACAGGCATGAGCCACCGCGCCCAGCAAGGGATGCTTCTTAGACAATGTCTGGGAGTTAGAAAACAAATGATCAGAAAACGATTTCATCAACAGAGCTAGAAAAGTACACAGGGATGAGGGAAAAGGAGGTAATGGTGACGAGGACAGTTTCAATTGATAATAGATGTCACAAACTTAAATTTTCAGTCCTAGTGATGGTAATAAAAAATCACCAAGAATATATCTTTTGTGTGAGAATGATTTTTTTGCATCTAAACCTGTTATATTGTGAGATTATTTTATTTGGGGGAAATCCCAAAAGACTGCAAACTTTAGGTTAGCCAACCCTGTGTAGATTGTAACATGATGTAATATGTTTCTCTAACATCATAAGAGTTTTGCTTGGTTTGTAGGCTATATCTCCAGTTTCATCAACAGTTGAACAGATGGCTTGAGGTGCTCCATGACAGCATTTGACTTTGAAATTCAGCGGACATCTGCATTGTCACAGTTCTTTTTTTTTTTTTTTTGAGACAGAGATTCGCTTTTGGTGACCAGTCTGGAGTGCAATGGCGTGATCTAGGCTCTAGGCTCACCACAACCTCTGCCTCCCGGGTTCAAGCGATTCTCCTGCCTCAGCCTCCCAAGTAGCTGGGATTACAGGCATGTGCCACCACGCCCAGCTAATTTTGTATTTTTTAGTAAAGACAAGGTTTCTCTATGTTGGCCAGGCTGGTCTCAAACTCCCGACCTCAGGTGATCCGCCCCCGTCGGCCTTTGAAAGTGCTGGGATTACAGGTGTGAGCCACCGCGCCTGGCCCATAGTTCTTATATCATATGCACAGCAGTGTATTTTGTAAAAGAAATGCATTCCAAGGCCGGGCGCGGTGGCTCACGCCTGTAATCCCAGCACTTTGGGAGGCCTAGGCGGGCAGATCACGAGGTCAGGAGATCGAGACCATCCTGACTAACACGGTGAAACCCCGTCTCTACCGAAAATACAAAAAATTAGCCGGGTGTGGTGGCGGTCGCCTGTAGTCCCAGCTACTCGGGAGGCTGAGGCAGGAGAATGGCGTGAACCTGGGAGGCGGAGCTTGCAGTGAGTCTAGATCGCGCCACTGCACTCCAGCCTGGGCCACAGAGCGAGACTCGTCTCAAAAAAAATAAAATAAAAATAAAAATAAAAATAAAGAAATGCATTCCAAATCTCAAGTCCATTGATGCGTTGAAAAAACAGGATCAAATGTTTTATTTCAGTTTCTATCAAATACTTACCTGGATTCAATGTCTATTAAACCTTTGTTCTACGGGAACATTACTAATACCTCCCTGCATCCTCACTTGAATGGATATAAATTAAATGAAAGAACTAGTATCCCTTTAAGAGTCTGTGGAGCCCTATGCACTCTCAATGGGTTAGCTCATTAAGTCTCACAACAACACTTTAACTTAGATATGATTTTTCTCATTTTGCAGGTGAATAAACTGAGCCTTGTTCAACCAGTGAATTGAAAAACTAGAATATGGATTGGAAACTTCCATACTCCAAAACTTACACTTTCTTACTAACAATAAACATTTTTCCCATATACAAGTAATGTATTTTTGGGCCAGGCGTGGTGGCTCACGCCTATAATCCCAGCACTTTGGGAGGCCGAGGCAGGCAGATTACCTGAGGTCGGGAGTTTGAGACCAGCCTGACCAACATGGAGAAACCCTGTCTCTACTAAAAATACAAAATTAGCCAGGCGTGGTGGCACATGCTTGTAATCCCAGCTACTAGGCAGGCTGAGGCAGGAGAATCACTTGAACCTGGGAGGAGGAGGTTGCGGTGAGCCAAGATCGTGCCATTGCACTCCAGCCTGGGCAACAAGAGTGAAACTCTGTCCCCCCCCCCAAAAAAAAAAAGTAATGTATTTTTATTGTAAAGCACTTTACAATATAGAAATATATGGTTAAAAAATGCATGTTAGTTATTTTTAAAAGAAAAACATTAGACAACCTATATTTTGCAGTTTATTTGAGCAAATACCTAACTGGGCAGGACTCACAACTGAAGGAGGTTCAGAGAGCTCCTCTCTAAAATGTGGGCTCCTAAATTATTTACATTTTTTGGTAAAGACAGGGTCTCGCTTTTTTGCCCAGGCTGATCTTGAACTCCTGGCCAGGTGCAGTGAGTGGCTCAGACCTGTAATCCCAGCACTTTGGGAGACTGAGGCAGGAGGATCACTTGAAGCCAGGAGTTCAGGATCAGCCTGGGCAACAAAGTGAGACCCTGTCTTTACCAAAAATTTAAAATAATTTAGGAAGGTGCAGTGGCAGGTGCCTGTAGTCCCAACTACTTGGCGGTTGAGGTAGGAGGATCCCATAAGCCCATGAGACCATGAGACCAAGAGTTTGAGGCTGCAGTGAGCTATGATCATACCACTGCACTCCAGGCTGGACAACAGAGTGAGACCCTGTCTCTAAAAAAACTGAATAAACAAAATGGAAGCAGAAGAAGGGAAAGAAAGAAAGAAAGAATGAAAGAAAGAAAGAAAGAAAGAAAGAAAGAAAGAAAGAAAGAAAGAAAGAAAGAAAGAAAGGAAAAGAAGAGAAAAAAGAAAAGAAAGAAAGAAAAGAAAGAAAGAAATGAAAGAAAGAGAGAGAGAGAGAGAAAGGAAGGAAGGAAAGAAGGAAAGAAACAGAGAAAGAGAGAATGTGAGCACTGAGTATTTACAGATAGAACATGGAAGTAAAGTACAGAAATAGCTTGACTAGGCTGGGTGCAGTGGCTCACTCCTGTAATCCCAGCACTTTGGGAACCTGAGGCAGGTGGATCACTTGAGGTCAGGAGTTTGAGACCAGCCTGGCCAACATAGTGAAACCTCGTCTGTACTAAAAATACAAAGAAGTAGCCGGGCATAGTGGCGCACGCCTGTAATCCTAGCTACTTGGGAGGCTGAGGCAGGAGAATGGCTTGAACCCAGGAGGCAGAGGTTGTAGTAAGCCGAGATCACTCCACTGCACTCCAGCCTGGGCAACAGAGCTAGACTCCGTCTAAAAAAAAAAGAAAGAAAGAAATGGCTTGACTGGTTGTAGTGAGGTGTTTGTCTTACTTAGACATGGTCTGATAAGTTGGTCGCCTTTCCTTGGCTGAAGTTCGGCGCTAGTGTTTGGCTGAGACTCTTGCCGTTTGTTATACTCCTAGATTAGGTTTGCCATTTGTTTATGTTCTAAATTAAGTTGCAGTTTGTTACCCAGGAACTGAAGGTATAGATTCAGGCTCATGCCAAACTAAACAGCCACAATCCCACCACTACAAATTGAGCATCCCTTATCTGAAATGCTTGGGACCTGAAGTGCTTTGAGTTTCAATTTTTTTCCCCGGATTTTGGAACATTCGAATTTTACTGGTTGAGCATCCCTAATTTGAAAATCCAAAGGCTAAAAGGATCCAATGAGTATTTTATTTGAGCGTCATGTTAGTGCTCAAAAAAGTTTTGCATTTCAGATGTTTGGATTAGGGCTCGTCAGTCTGTGTTACCATTTTAGTATTCCCTTTTTTTTCTGCTTAATTGAGATCATCTACATGTAAATTTTCCATATTGCTTATTTAATATTATATCTAAATATTTTAATAAAATTAAATTATTTATAAATTATTTAATGACTATATAACCACTAAATTATTTAATGACTATTTTAACCAACCCCTCTTATTAGACATTTCAATTATTGTCAGAGATGAACTATTATAAAGAAAATATAAAAAAAAGTATTATGTAAAAACATCCATATATTCTGAATATTTTCAAAAATAAGGCCAGTTATGGTGGCTCACATTTATAATTCCAGTACTTTGGGAGGCTGAGATGGGAGGATCGCTTGAGTTTAGGAGTTCAAGAACAGCCTGGGCAACATAGGAAGTAGGGAGACCTCATCTCTATTAAAAAAAAAAAAAAATTCCGGTGTGTTGGTGTGCACCTTGGTCCCAGCTACTCAAGAGATTGAAGTGGGAAGATTGCTTGAACCTGGTAAGCCAAGGCTGCAGTGAGCCATGATCATGCCATTGCACTTCAGCCCAGGAAACAGAGGGAGAGGAGACTTTGTCTCCAAAAAACAAAACAAAACAAACAAACAAACAAACAACAAAAGATAAATTATGAGGGGTGGCCCTAGATTTTTAGATATCCAACTTTTATATAATACTAGTTTTCTCATGTTCACCTTCTTAGCCACCTATTCTAAGCTAAATTGGGAATTTCATACATCAATTGAAAAATATTTCAAGGCAGGGTGTGGTGGCTCATGCCTGTAATCCCAGCACTTTGGGAGGCCAAGGCGGGTGGATCACCTGAAGTCAATAGTTCGAGACCAGCCTGGCCAACATGGTGACACCCCGTCTCTACTAAAAATACAAAAACTAGCCAGGCATGGTGGTACACGCCTGTAGTCCCAGCTATTTGAGAGGCTGAAGCAGGAGAATCACTTGAAATGGGGAGGTGGAGATTGCAGTGAGCCGAGATCGTGCCACCGTACTCCAGCCTGGGTGACAGGCTGAGACTCCATCTCAAAAACAAACAAACAGCAAACAAAAAACCCACACACAAATATTTCAGGCTTCTTGATTCTGGCAAAATCTTCTTGAATTTTACATTTGTTTGTTTGTTTGTTTGTTAATACCCCTCAGAGGGGGTCCAAGACATATCCAAGCATAGTTTGAAACCACAGGGTCTTCAAACAAATCACATTGTAAGCCTAGCACCTTGGTCCTCTGCTATTCTGCATGGGTGCACCATTCTGCATCCCCTTTGCCCAGAAAAAAAATTCCAGATATTCTCCAAACTCCAGCACATTTTCATGAGAGCTTTTATTCATCTCTATGACAGGAAGTATTCATGAGTGATTTAAATATTTTATGGAATTTATCCTAATTATTTTACTGAAATGCATAGAAGGTAAAAAAAATAATAATATGGAAGGTAGAAAAAAGAAATTATTAGATACAGCCAAAGTGCCAGGTGGAGTCCCTAAGACACAAATTAGTGAATTATTCCCTAAGCATTATGTCTACCAGCAATTTTTACCCCTCATTCTGATCCTTACGATATTTCAGTTCTTTGACTATGTGCTTAATAATAAAAACTAAAATCAGGAGACGCGTGAAATGCCGAAAATGCATTGTAAAAAATGTATCTAAAAAGTGAGGTGTAATTTAGGGATGTTACATGATTTTAGCAACCTGGTAATAGAAACTTCCTCTCAGAACTATTTATTAGCATGGTGCCCTGTAACCTGTCCGCCTGGGGATTACCTGTGGGCTTTCCAAGGATATAAATTCCTCTGCCTCAACAGGGATAAGGGTTGGAACCAGAAATGGTATTTAAACAAATTCCTCAGAGGGATCTTGGCCACTTTAAAATCTGAGAACAATTGCCCTTAATTTTTATTTTCCTAGGGGTCAGTCTTCACATGTTTGGCTTTTGAGTGGGTTTTCAGAAACGTGTAACAAACTTGAGGGATGTCTGTATAGTACGTAGCACGATTAAAGGCTATTCATACACAGATTCAAATTGCTTGAAAATGTATTTTCCCATATTGCCATCCCATCACGTATGAGATGCCCAGTAGTATCATTCATTGAAATGGAAGATTTCGTCATTTGCCCAATTTAGGGTTTGTTGTTGTGTTTGTCATAGTTGTTGTAATGAGAATGACTTGACAATTACATGTGTGTGTTTAAAAGAAAACAATGGTTGTGCTTTACCAATAGATTTGCTTATCGATTCCTCTTGCCATCCACTCTTCCATCCTGGAGGAGTAAGAGTGTGGATGCTGAGGTTCAGATGCACACTCTGATATCCCAAGGGAAGACCCTGGGCAAACTGCCTCAAGTTAGCTGTTTGCATCCACATCCTTGGAGCATTTTCTGCAAAGTTTATCTTAGACATCTGTTTGCTATTCTGCAATCTGTTTACTTACTGTTTATTTGTGTATGCTCTACTCCTTTAACTCTTAAGATCTTAGTATTTTTCCCAAATCTATGCAGTGGCTCTTTTTTTCTGAGACAGAGTCTTACTCTATCGCCCAGGCTGTAGAGCAGTGGTGCGATCATGGCTCACTGTAGCCTAGAGCTCCTAGGCTCAAGCAATCCTCCCACTCAAACTCCTGAGTAGCTGGGGCTACAGGCGCATGCCACCATGTCCAGCTAGTATTTTTATTTTGTGGAGACAAGGTCTCATTATGTTGCCAGGCTAGTCTCAAACTCCTGGGCTCCAGTGATCCGCCCACCTTGGCCTCCCAAAGTGCTGGGATGATAGGCGTGAGCCACCACTCCTGGCCATGCAACAGCTCTTTATATCATAATATTAACCTTTTCCACATGTATTATATTTTCCCAGTATATTGCTTCTCTATACATTTACCTATGCTGAATTGAAAAGATATCATTGAGGTTTTAAAGCATATGTTGTCAATATATCAATATTTTTCTTTGTTGTTTATTTTATTGTTTTACAATTTGGAATCAATTTCTCATCCAGGGTTGAAGTCAATTTGGGCCTATATTTTCTTCTATTCATTACTTTAATTATAGCATTTAACATTTTAATTTAATAAAAGTAATTTATTAAGGTAAGGTAGATTTTAAGTAATATTTAATAAAACATTGAATGAATTTGGCCAGGCGCAGTGGCTCACGCCTGTCATCCCAGCACTTTGGGAGGCCAAGGTGGGTGGATCACCTGAGGTCAAGAGTTCGAGACCAGCCTGGCCAACTTGGTGAAACCCTGTCTCTACTAAAAATACAAAAAATTATTCAGATGTGGCGGCACATGCTTGTAATCCCAGCTACTCAGGAGGCTGAGGCAGGAGAATCGTTTGAACCCAGGAGGCGGAGGTTTCAGTGAGCCAAGATCATGCCATTGTACTCCAGCCTGGGTGACAAGAGCAAAACTCCATCTCAAAAAAAAAATTTTTTTTATGAATGAATTTAACTTAAGTGAAATGTGTTTTGTTGCTTAGTACAAGGTAATAGTGTTGTATCCTGAATAATACTTCGCCACTGATTTATAGTTGATTAGATTTTTATATATGTGCTAGATTATATATAGAATACATATAGATTATTTTATACATATATACATATATAGATCAATACAATTTCCCTGCTTTAATCAGCCCTTATCTAACCAAATACTGATCCTGATCCTACTGGCTATGAGGACTTTCACAGTAATATTGACATTAGTAAGCAGCTTTGGTTGTTTTCCTCCTGGTTTAACGGTAATGACTCATTACCACGAAACAATGTTTCCCCCATTAAGTATAGAGTGGGCTCTGGGTTTCATATAATGGATATTTGTGAATTATGATAAGACAACGTTCTGGTTTTGGGGGATAAGAGAGTATTTTGAACATGTAGTCAGTGTGCTCTCTTTCTCACACTCATTCCGTAAGAGCCACCCCTGCTTTCGGGTAGGGTTGTAACAACAGGAAGAGGAGAGAAAGAATTTATTCAGAGCCCAGCTTTTGAGTTTCAAAATAGATCTTCATTTGTCTTCCAAACCAGAACACTTTTGATTGTGAAAGGAGGCACCATTAATAATTATGCTGGGACAACAGGCGTAAACCTGGCCTGAGAGACAGTCACCCTAGCCACAAACAACAGAGCTGGAATAATGCATGAACATGCAAGAGGATGTTTTTCTTGCCGAAGAGAAAAAAATGATCAGAGCTGCGAGAGACAGAGTAGTCTGAGGAAAAGCATGAAGTTGGGAATTGTTTAGCATCCCTCAGAACAGGCCCCCAGCAGATATTGCAGTGGAACCCATGCTTACCCCTCGGTGGACTTAGGATAGCAAGCCCCCTCTTGCAGTTATTCTTATCCTGTTAGTATGAAGCTGACATGGCTGAGGGCGTTAGGCACAGGAGGCTCCAGCAGCCTCTCGAGGGCCAATTCCAGTGCTGGGTGGCATCAGAAGCAACCAATGGAGAGAGGCCCAAGCATGCCAGGAGGCTTCCAGAGGCTCCTTGGTTGGAGAACAGGAGGATGAGGTAGCAGATGAGCTTCTCTCCCTTGCTTCAGTAGTTTTTAATCTTTTGGTGGACCATGAACCCATTTGAGAATCTTTTAAAATCTGTAGACCTCGGCTTGGCGTGGTGGCTCACTCCTGTAATCCCAGCACTTTGGGAGGCCCAGGTGGGCAGATCACCTGAGGTCAGGAGTTCCTGACCAGCCTGGCCAACATGGCAAAACCCCATCTCTACTAAAAATACAAAAAATTAGCCGGGCATGGTGGCGCGCCTGTAATCCCAGCTACTCAGGAGACTGAGGCAGGAGAACTGCTTGAACCCAGGAGGTGGAGATTGCAGTGAGCTGAGATTGCACCACTGCACTCCAGCCTGGACGACAAGAGTGAAAACTCCGTCTCAAAAAAAAAAAATGTATAGACAGCTGAGTGTGGTTGCTCTCACCTGTAGTCCCAGCAATTTGGGACACCAAGGTGGGAAGATAGGTTGAGCCCAGAAGTTTGTGACCAGCCTGAGCAACATAGAGAGCCCCCATTTCTACAAACAAACAAAATATATAGACCTGCACTGTTCAATATGTTAGCCACTAGCCACAGGTGGCTCTAGGGCACTTGAATTGTGGCGGGTCCAAATTGAGATGTGCTGTAAGTGTAAGATACACAGCTGATTTCAAAGATCACATATGAGGGGATAAAAAGGGAATGTAAAATACATCTATTAATTTTTAAAATATTGACTGCATGTTGAAATGATAATGTTTTGAATATATTGGGTTAAAGACGTTATTTAAATATTATTAAAATTTATTTCATCTGTTTCCTTTTTTTTCTTTTTTTGAGACAGAGTCTCACTCTGTCACCCAGGCTGGAGTACAGTGGCACGATCTCTGCTCACTGCACCCTCTGCCTCCTGAGTTCAAGCGATTCTCCTGCCTTAGCTTCCAGAGTAGCTGGGATTACAGGCACCCACCACCATGCCTGGCTAATTTTTGTATTCTTAGGAGAGAGGGGTTTTACCATGTTGGTCAGGCTTGTCTCGAACTCCTAGCCCCAAGTGACTCACCCACCTCGGCCTCCCAAAGTGTTGGGATTACAGGCATGAGCCACCATGCCCAGCTGTTTCCTTTTATTTTTTAAGTAGCTACCAGAAGGTTTAAAACTACTTGTGTGGCTCACATTATGCTTTTGTTGGACAGTGTCAGCACAGACTCTTTGTTCAGATAAATGCACAGTCACATACATGACTTAAATTTATATCTAATTGTTGGTGTCCATGACTCTATTTGGAATTGTTGGAATGCAGGTAGAAAGCCATAGCTCTCATTTATTCTCCAGAAAGCTTTCTGACAGGTTGCTCAAAAAACAAATATAAAAATGTCATGGCTGTGGCTTAAAATTTTGAATGAATACCTCATTGCCTACAAGACAAGGTATAAATTTCTGTAACATTATAGTCAGAGCTCTTCTCAACATGACTCTAATTTACTTTGCCAGTCTTCTTTCCTGACACGTCCTGACCACACACACACATCTGTTCTCTAGCTCCTCCAAACAATTTGACCTCTCAAACAAGCACACACATGACTTCCGCCCTTTCCTCATCCTCTTCTCTCAGCCTAGGTATGCCCTCCTTCCAATTTTTCACCTGTCTAAATCCTCTTCATTCAACAAGGCCCTGTTCAAATATCATTTCCTCTGTTAATCCCTTTCTGTCATCAAAGACTGAATTGATTCCTCCTCTCTAGTTTGTCCCAAGGCAGTTTGCTCAGATCACTGTTATGTCAATTTATTTCCTATTGCAGTTAAATATACACATGCCTGTGGGTATTTCACATAGATGCATGCGCCTGTCTCCCGTACTCCAATATGAACGCTTTTAGACAATGACCTTATATGTTTTATTTTTGCTTCTCCAGTGCCTTGATATGATGGGTGTACCAGAAAAGTTTGTTAAATGAATTAAAAAAAAAGAAAGAAATTATAGAGAAAGGATAATGCATCAGATTCCTAGATAAATCAGTAAGAACCTAGGCTGTGTCAATAGAATAGTAGAATTGAAAAAGGGGAGAAATAAAGGAGATCCGTGGCATGGTTTGGATAGAGGAAATAAGAGAAATGGGACCCAAAAGCCCTTTGGTACCCACGATGGGACTGAATGGTGGCACTGGAAAGGAGATGGGAAAGGCACTGGGAGGAGATGGGAAGAGCAGCATTGGCGAGAGGGTCAAGATGGAGTGGGCAAAGGTAGGTGTGGAGTTCTGCTGGGTCTCAGGTGACAGCAGGGCAGATAGAAGAGGTCCCAGCAGATATAAAACACGTGAGTCTGGGGCTTGGGTGACACTGAGAGCTACCTACTTAAAATTTGTGCATGATGTCCTGGGAGATGAACTCAAGAAAGACAACATGTGGGAAAAAAGAAGGGAATCGAAGCCAGAGACTTGGGTGATAACATTTAAGGGTTGGAAGAAAAAAGTAAACCCAACAACTAGATAAAGACAGCAAAATCAGATACAGAATTTCCTAAATTGTACCTAGAACTCTAATGATAACGGATCCTGGAAATTCCAGTTTGTATCCTTTCATCCCCTGAAATACTGATTTGGGGGGACGTAGAAGGTGAAAGAATGGATACCAAATGCCAATTGACCTATTCAATGTTTTGGAATTAAGAGGTTACATTTGACCCATGAGAGAGCAGTTTTAGTAAGGTGGGAAGATGAAAAAGCAAGTTGAATAGGTAAGAAATGAAGAGGAAGAAGGAAGAGAAGCACCGGGGGTAGACAGTCCTTTTGCAAAGGTTGCATCCTTTTCTTGAAGAATCTACAGGATCTCCTAAGGATTAGGAGCACAGCCTATGGATTTCTTTGTTGCTGTTGCTTGTTTGTTTGTTTGTTTGTTTGAGACTGAGCTTCACTCTTATTGCCCAGGTTGGCATGCAGTGGCACTATCTCGGCTCACTGCAACCTCTGCCTCCCAGGTTCAAGCGATTCTTCTTCCTTAGCCTCCCAAGTAGTTGCGATTACAGGCGCCTGCCACCATGCCCAGAAAATGTTTTGTATTTTTAGTAGAGACAGGGTTTCACCATGTTGGCCAGGCTGGTCTTGAACTCTTGACCTCAGGTGATCCGCCCGCCTCAGCCTCCCAAAGTGTTGGGATTACAGGTGTGAGCCAACACGGCCAGCCCCAGCCTATGGATTTCAATCTCAGCTCTGCCACTGATTAGCTGTGTGATTCCAAGTGAGTGCCACAAGCTCTTTGATTCTGTTTTCTCATTTGTAAAGTGAGAATAATAATACTGTTTGTAGGATCTACTATGAGGGTGAAACGATTCAATCCATGCCGAGTGCTCAGCACAGTACTTGGCACCTTGCAACATACAAAGGAGTTGCTGCTCTTATCAATTTTGCTCCATGCCTTTTTGAGCAAGCATCCCCGATTAAGCACCAATTTCTTAACTTGGTGTTGTATACGTTTTATCTTAATTAGGTGAGGTGTTGTATTAGTTGTATTAGTTTGCTGGGGCTGCCATAACAAAATACCACAGCTGAGTGGCTTCAGCAACAGAAATTTACTTGTTCACAATTCTGAAGGCTAAAATCTGAGATCACGGTGTCAGCAGGGTTGGTTCCTTCTGAGGCCTCTCTCCTTGGCTTGTAGATGGCCATCTGCTTCCTGTGTCCTCACATGGTCTTTTCTTCTGTGTCTGTGTTCTAATCTCCTTTTCATGTAAAGACATCAGTCATATTGGATTAGAAGCCTAGTGACCTCGTAGTAACCTCATTAACCCTTTAAAGACCCAATCCCCCAATATGGTCATATTCTGGGGTACTGGGGGTGAGGATGTCAATGTACAAACTTTTTGGAGTTTGTCCCATGACAGATGTGTTTGTTGTTGTTGTTGTTTGTTTTTGTTTTTGTTTTCTGAGACAGAGTCTTGCTCTGTTGCCCAGGCTGGAGTGCAATGGCGTGATCTCGGCTCACTGCAGACTCTGCCTCCCAGGTTCAAGTGATTCTCCTGCCTCAGCCTCCTGAGTAGCTGGGATTACAGGCTCCCGCCACCATGCCTGGCTACTTTTTGTATTTTTAGTAGAGATGGGTTTTCACCATGTTGGCCAGGCTGGTCTCAAGCTCCTGACCTAAAGTGATCCACCTGACTTGGCCTCCCAAAGTGCTAGGACTACAGGCATGAGCCACCATGCCCGGTCCCATGACAGGTGTTTTTGACCAAGAAAAGGCACCCTGTTTATATTTTATTATTTAAGAAGGCAAATTTTGAAGCATGTTAAAGGACTGAGAGAAAAGTTTCCATTGGAGGAAAAACTCAGAAACTCCAGAGTGGCGAAACCCAGATTTGCTTAGGTTTAGTTTGTTTGTCTGTTTGTTTGTTTCTGAGACAGAGTCTTGCTCTGTCGCCCAGGCTGGAGTGCAGTGGCATGATCTCGGCTCACTGAAAACTCCATCTCCCAGGCTCAAGCGATTCTCTTACCTCAGCCTCCTGAGTAGCTGGGATTACAGGCACACGCCACCACATCCAAATTTTTGTATTTTTAGTAGAGACAGGGTTTCACCATGTTGGACAGGCTGGTCTTGAACTCCTGACCTCAGGTGATCTGCCTGCCTTGGCCTCCCGAAGTGCTGGGATTACAGGCGTGAGCCGCCGCGCCGGCCGCTTGCTTAGGTTTAGATAGCTAATGAGTGGTAAGGGATTCCACTGAGTTCTAACCCAGCATTCTATCTACTTCCCCCGCCCCCATTCCTCAGCACCACTTCTGCGTGTCATTCTAAGTTTGCACGCCTCTTCGTATATGAGAATGATTCTTACAGCTTCTGGTGATTGGATGCTTTATTCAATAGAGCTGTTATTTCCCTGGGGCTGAAAGGCAGAGACATAGGCAGTTTTACAAGAGAGATTGAAAAATATAACAACGACACAAAAGGGTGGGGCTGTCCCAAGAGGACTGCTTGCTACTGTGTGCTTGCTTCAAATCTCCACTAACT
The DNA here is from genome assembly GCF_000001405.40 of Homo sapiens. Lineage (NCBI taxonomy): Eukaryota > Metazoa > Chordata > Mammalia > Primates > Hominidae > Homo > Homo sapiens. The sequence goes on from NC_000001.11 coordinate 240,636,002, forward strand.
CCTCATAAAACCTGGGACTGGAATTCTCCAGGCCCCACGGCTGCTATCACAGCTGCCTGTACCACACATGTGCCTCCCTGATGTGGCAAGGGTGGCCATATGTGGCTTATTAATAAACTTTCTCTGTCTTACAGATTGCCTCGAAGATGCCAGATTTCCCCAAAGACTCTGTTTGCTGGACTCTCTCCCTCTTTAAGTTTCCAGTAGCTATAAACACAGCCATCTCTGTCTTAATTCTTAATGACTGGAGGTAAAAGATTCTGCTGCTCTAATGCATTCAATCTAAACAGGTGATCTATTATTACAATGGATTAAGTTAAACAGTGTATCACTTTGATATGGTTTGGCTGTGTCCCCACCCAAATCTCATCTTGAATTACAGCTCACGTAATACCCTCGTGTTATAGGAGGGCTCCAGTGGGAGATAATTGAATCATAGGGACGGTTTCCCCCATACTGATCTCGTGGTAGTGAGTAAGTCTCATGAGATCTGATGGTTTTGTTTTTCGTTTTTTGTTTTTTGTGGTTTTTTGCCTGGGAATGAGAAAATAAATTTATTTCGTTGTGGGGAGCAGGCTGATGTCCAGCCTCAGAGCTCCTGGAACTGCTTCTTGGTGCTGGCGGCCTTGGTGACCTTGAGCACATCGAAGCGCACCGTCTTGCTCAGGGGCTGGCACTCGCCCACTGTGACGATGTCACTGATCTGGACGTCCCTGAAGCAGGGGGACAGTTGTACGGACATGTTCTTGTGGCCCTTCTTGAAGCGGTTGTACTTGCAGATGTAGTGCAGTCTCGGCAGATGACAATGATCCTCTGCATCTTCGTCTTGGTCACCACGCCAGAGAGGACCCACCCTCGAATGGAGACATTCCCAGTGAAGGGGCATTTCTTGTCAATGTGGGCGCCCTCAATAGCCTCTTGAAGCCCAGACTGATGTTCTTGTAGTACAACGGGGACTTCTCCTGCCAGTGTCTCCCAGCAGGACCCTCTTCTTGTTTTGAAAGGTGGTCGGCTGCTTTTAGTAGGCACCGTCTGTCTGAGTGACCGCCGTCTTCCCGGCCGCCTGAAAAAAGGGTCTGACGGTTTTATAAAAGGAAAGTCCTTTCACTTGGCTCTCATTCTCTCTTGTCTGCCACCATGTAAGATGTGACTTTTACCCTCTGCCATGATTGTGAGGCCTCCCAGCCACGTGGAACTGTGAGTCCATTACACCTCTTTTTCTTTATAAATTTCCCAGTCTCGGGTATGCCTTTATCAGCCGTGTGAAAATGGACTAACATACACTTCTTTCTTCATTGTCTTCTGTGAGACAGTAGATTTTGGAGGTTAAGGGAATTTGATTTGCATTTCTGGCTCCGCCTGTTCTTACTAGGTGTATAACATTTGGCAAGTTACCTAGCCATCCTAATACTGTTTTTCTTATCTCTAAAGTGGGGATAATAACAGTCTTCTCCTGAAGGTTATTGTGAGGATTAAATGAAAAGATGTAGGTGACACTAGTTGTGTAGTCTGAGACAGAATATGTACTCAATAAATGTTAGCTGTTATCATTAGTATACATCTTGGAGGAGGTTGGGAACGAACATGGGAAAAGTAACTAAGAATTAGCTTTTGGATCCTACCAAGCTGCTGGAGTTTGGGTCTTAAGTTTTCAACTTGATATGTCATATATAAAATTCTTTTGCGAACTACCTATCAGGTACTATGATTACTACTTGGGTGACTGGATCATTAGAAGCCCAAACTTCAACATCAAGCTATAGACTCATGTAATAAACCTACACATGTACCCCGTGAATCTAAAATTACAAAACAAATAAATAATTCATTAATTATTATTATTTTTTGAGACAGGGTCTCACTCTGTCTCCCAGGCTGGAGTAAAATGGCACAATCTCAGCTCATGGCAACCTCCAATTCCCAGGCTCAAGCAATCCTCCCACCTCAGCCTCCCAAGTAGCTGGGACTATAGGAATGCACCGCCACAACTGGCTAATTAAAAAAAATATTTTTTTCTAGAGCTGAGGTCTCACTGATTGCCCAGGCTGGTCTCGAATGAACTCGTGTGCTCAAGCGGTTCTCCCACCTCAGTCTCCCAAAGTGCTGGGATTAGAGGTGTAAGCCACCATGCCCAGACATGAAATTCTTTTTTTTTATTTTTTGAGACACAGCCTCACTCTGTCACCCAGGCTGGAGGGTAGTGAGCTCGGCTCACTGCAACCTCTGTCTCCTGGGTTGAAGTGATTCTCCTGCCTCAGCCTCCTGAGTACCTGTGATTAATGGCATCCACCACCACACCCAGCTAATTTTTTTCTATTTTTATTAGAGAAGGGGTTTCACGATGTTGATCAGGCTGGTCTGGAACTCCTGACCTCAGGTGATCCGCCCCCACTTGGCCTCCCAAAGTGCTGAGATTACAAGCATGAGCCACCGCGCCCGGCCTAAAGTTATTTTTCGGGTGGCTCATCCCCTTTCCTAGCTCATCCTTATTATATGAATGTGTTTGATATTTCTTTCCCATTTTTGCCAGTCTCTTTTTATTATTATGAAATAATTCTGGCATATAAAAAGTATGGAGAACAGTACAATTAGTAAGCATGTTCCCATAACCTACATTACGGGTAGGTTATGGGTACATGCTTTACAAAGCATTACAAAACATAGTTAAAATCTGAAAGTTTCTGTACACGATCCCCTAAACCTCTCCCAGGTCATCAATCTAAAAAGTCCTACACACCTTTATTCCATCTTAAAATGAAAATTCTGGCAGGAGCTTACCATTTGGACAAAACTTCAAAATGGTAGTTCTGTTTGAGAGCTAGTAAAGGAAGACGGCAATGAATAAAGGCAATGAATATAACTGGGCCTCAAACTCTGAAAATTTTGTTTTCCTAATTGGGATTGTTCATCAGCTCAGAGAGAAAACTGCAGCCACCATTTTTCTCTCATCCACAATATTCAGAGCAATGTTTTTCAAACTCTATTCCCTGACCCCTTAGTAAATCATGAAATCAATTTGGTGGATTAGGATCAGCAAGATTAAAAATAACAAAGCAGACAAAATAGAACAAAAAAAAAGGGTAAGCAAGGAGAAAATACCAAAGTGTGTGAGGGGGCCAGGCGCGGTGGCTCATTCCTGTAATCTCAGCACTGTGGGAGGCCGAGGCAGGTGGATCATCTGAGGCCAGGAGTTCAAGACCAGCCTGGCCAACATGGTGAAACCCTGTCTCTGTTAGAAGTACAAAAATTAACTGGACATGGTGGCAGATGCCTGTAATCCCAGCTACTTGGGAGGCTGAAGCAGGAGAATCATTTGAACCCGGGAGGCAGAGGTTGCAGTGAGCTGAGATTGCACCACTGCGCTCCAGCCTGGGCAACAGAGGGAGGCTGTCTCAAAAAAAAAAGTGTGTTAAGGGTAAATTTTGTTGTGGAAGCTTTTGTTTCCTATTTGTATATGATTATGTATTTGTATATGTGCACACAGTCGCTATGTACTATTATATTCCTCTCCCATGGGTTATAATGAAAAAAACCCTGAGACCTGCTGTTGCGAAGACTTGACAATGTTCCAGAAGGCCTGATGTCCAGTCTTCAGCTTTTGGGTGAGAAGGAAGCGATGAAGCGGGAGGATAATATCAAGGCATTGCTTCAAGGACCAAGGCTTCTGCCTGGAAACTTGCAGCATGAAATATACAGTCTCAGCACTTCTGTCTCCCTACCTAAACCGTTTACTTCCCGGGGCTATACGTGGACAGAAGTACACCCTCCGACCAGAATGCTGAAAAAGTTGACAGCCAAGCTTGAGTCTTATTTATACTGGTGTTCTCAATCCTTCCTACTGCCCAGTGATTTTCAAAGCCATATGCATAAATTAGGTACTTCATTAAAGGTGTTTCAGGGATACCTGAAATGTGTCTGAATCAGGTATGGTAAGGCACGCAGACATGGAAACGACTGTCATGAGGGAAGATGTTATTTGTACTTACAGATCCCTGGAAACAGGGGCTACAGCAGGCCAGACAGGGCCACATGGGGAAGGACTGGGGTCTGTCGGGACACAGAGGGAGCGAGGGGTAAACAGGGGCAAGAGACTTTGCTGTGGTTCTGCTGGAAGGAACAGGCTAGGCAGGGTAAGTAGGCTGAGCAGGTTCAGGGTCAGCTGGTTTGAATAATTTCAGTGGGCCTTGGGGTTGGGGGTGATGCCCCTAGTTTTGGTAACTGGTCCTGAGGTAAACAGGACACATGGTGGATAGTGGCCCTGAGTGCGAGAGCCTTGAGAGAGCCCGAGGAAGGAGGCGGTTGGGAGTCTGGGCTATGGCTTGGTTGGTTTGCACATGTGAGGTGTGCTGTGAGGCAAAATGTTCTCTACCTCTAGGAATTTGCTAGCCCTGAGAGGAGGCCTCTTTCCAGGGTCAGTAAGGCCCCAAGATGTCAAAGGATCAAACGTACAAAAAAGGATCGCTGGAGGCCAGGAGTTTGAGACCAGCCTGGGCAACACAGTGAGGCCCCATCTACACAAAAAATAAAAACTAAAAAAAAGACATGATTAAAACAGTTTTTGAAATGGAGATGGAGTAGCTGACTGATACAGTTTTTCTGTGCTCATTCTATTGTGAGGCAAAAAGTAGAATATTTAGGCCGGGTGCAGCGGCTCACGCCTGTAATCCCAACACTTTGGGAGGCCGAGGCGGGCAGATCATCTGAGGTCGGGAGTTCATGACCAGCCTGAGCAACATGGAGAAACCCTGTCTCTATTAAAAATACAAAATTAGCCGGGTGTGGTGGCGCATGCCTGTAATCCCAGCTACTCAGGAGGCTGAGGCAGGAGAATTACTGGAACCCAGGTGGCAGAGTTGCAATGAACTGAGATTGCACCATTGCACTCCAGCCTGGGCAAAAAGAGTGAAACTCTGTCTAAGAAAAAAAAAAAGAATATTTGCCCATAATTCATACTCTCTCTCTCTCTCCTTTTCCTTCCCTTCTTTACATGTCTAGTTTGGTGCTTGGTACATAATGGGCATTCAAAAGTATTCAGTTTTCTTCCCTTTACATTTAAATATAATAATTTTGGCCAGGCGCGGTGGCTCATGCCTGTAATCCCAGTACTTTGGGAGGCTGAGGTGAGTGGATCACTTGAGGCCAGGAGTTTGAGACCACCCTGTTCAACACGGTGAAACCCTGTCACTACTAAAAATACAAAAATTAGCCAGGTGTGGTGGCGCATGCTTGTAATCCCAGCTACTCGGGAGGCTGAGGCAGAAGAATTGCTTGAACCTGGGAAGCAGGTTGCAGTAAGTCAAGATCATGCCACTGCGCTCCAGCCTAGGCAACAGAGTGAGACTTTATCTCAATAATAATAATAATAGCAACAGAGTGAGACTTTATCTCAATAATAATAATACTTTTGAATTAGTAGATATAAACTAGTTTCTGTGTGAAAGTGGATTCATTAGAACATGTAATATTATTAAATGATTGTCTCTGCACTTGTGGAAATTAGCATTTCTGGCATACTAAAGCAAAGAAATGTGATAATAGTGGATTGTGTTTATTAGAGTTGTCAGGTAAAAATAGGGCATAGAATGGCCAATTAAATTTGAATTTCAGGTAAACAACAAAAATGTTTATGTATGTCCCAAATATTGCATGAGACATACTCGGGCTAAAAAATATATATATTTGTTGCTTTCTTGAAATTAATATTTAACTGGAAATTCTGTACTTTTATTTACTGACACCTTAATGTGGTAGGCAGAATTCTAAAAACAGCCCCCCAAGATTCCATATCCTAATCTCTGGAGTCTGTGAATCCGGGAATCTACCACTCCCATTATTAAATTCTTACATACAGCTCTGTAGGACACAGTTTACCTTAAGAGAGGAAGGTTTTCCGGTGGGCCTGATCTACGCAAATGGACCGTGAAAAGCAGAGAACTTTCTCTGGCTGATAGAAGAAGGGGGCAGAAAAGAGGGCCGAAGACGAAATCACAGAGACTCAGAAAGTGAGAAGGACTCCATGCTCCACGGCTGACTTTGAAGATGGCAAAGGCTGCTGAGAAGAAATGTAAGCAACTTTGAGGAACCAAGAACAGCCCTTACCGACAGCTACCAAGGAAAAAAGCACTTCGGCACATCAATTGCAAGAACTCAAATTCTACCAAAACCAGGCTGAACTTGGAATGGTTTCTTCCCCAGTCTCCAGATAACAACTAACCCCAGCCAACACCCTGACCTTTGCCTTTGGCTATCCTGTGCCTGAGACCCTGCTGAACCTCTCTGGACCTACAGAACTATGAGCTAATATTATGAGCATCATTTTCAGCTGCTAAATAGGTGATACTTTTTGTTGTTGTTTTTTTTTAGAGACAGGGTCTCTCTCTGTTGCCCAGGCTGGAGTGCAGTGGTACAATCATAGGTCACTACAGCCTCCAATGCCTGGGCTCAAGTCATCCTTTTACCTCAGCTTCCTGAGTAGTTTACGGGCATGCACCACCACACCTGGCTAATTTTTAATTTTTTGGTAGAGATGGGGGTCTCACTATATTGCTAGGCTGGTCTCAGACTCCTGGCCTCAAGCAGTCCTCTTGCCTCAGCCTCCTGAGTAGTTAGGACTACAGGTGCCTGTCACCATGCCCAGCTAATTTTTTCAATTTTTTTTTTTTTTAAGAGACGGAGGTATCTTGCTATGTTTCTCAGGCTGATCTTGAACTCCTGGTCCCAACTGATCCTCCAGGCTTGTCCTCCAGAGTAGCTGGGTTTACAGGCACAAGCCACCTTGCCCAGGTGTGCAGCGCTTTCTTATGCAGCAAGAGAAGATGAGTACTCCTAGTATTTATATGGCTTTTTTTTCAAAGCTTGTCACATATTTTTTTATTATTATTATTTGATTGTCAAATGTATGAGAGAAACCAGTCCATCAGTAAGATTTATGATGGCCAGGCGTGATGGCTCACACCTGTAATCTCAGCACTTTGGGATGCCAAGGCAGGCAGATCACTTGAGGCCAGGAGTTCTAGACCAGCCTGGCCAACATAGTGAAACCCTGTTGCTACTAAAAATACAAAAAAAATTAGCCAGGCATGGTGGCACTCAGCTGTAATCCCAGCTACTCAGGAGGCTGAGACATGAGAATCCTCTCAACCCGGGAGGCAGAGGTTCAGTGAGCCAAGATCATGCCACCACACCCCAGCCTGGGTGATGGTAAAAAAAAAAAAAAAAATTTTTTTTTTTTTTGAAACCAACAAATGTTGAATAAAATACCTGAAGTAAGGCATGGATATTTTTGAAAACCTACATTTTTCTGCTTTTTCCTTCCTTTATGTTTTCCTTCATATTCTGAATAAGGAAGTCATTCTTTTGGAGAGGGATTCCCTTGCTCAGTACTACAGAAGAGTTTTTAAAAGAAGTGAGCTTTCACAAAGGATTGAAAACTAAAGACAGAGTCAGTTTGAGGGCCTAAAGTTGACAAGATATAGAGAATTAAAGGTCTTCGTAAAGATACAAGAAGAATCGTTCCAAAATGATTCTGTCACTTTGGCTATAGAGATAATGTAAAGCTTTATGTGTGTTCCACAAACTCCTATCTAAGTAAGTACATTTTTCTTTTGTGTGCGTGAAGCAGGGCTAACCCATAGGCAGTGAGTCCAGAGCCAGCCTCCCTTAGTAAATGTCTTTTTTTTTTTTTTTTTTGAGATGGAGTCTCACTCTGTGGCCCAGGCTGGAGTGCTAGAGTGCAGTGGTGCAATCTCAGCTCACTACAACCTCCGACCACCCTTCCGGGTTCAAGTGATTCTCATGCCTCAGCCTCTTGAGTAGCTGGGATTATAGGCACATGCCACCATGCCATGCTAATTTTTATGCTTTTAGTAGAGATGGGGTTTTACCATGTTGACCAAGCTGGTCTGTAACTCCTGGCCTCAAGTGATCCGCCTGCCTTGGCCTCCCAAAGTGCTGGGATTACAGGCATGAGCCAACATGCCTGGCCATATCTAAGTAAATTTGAAAAGTAGCCTGCCTCATTCTCCAGTCTACATATTGAGGAATAGGATTATCAAGAGAGCTGTAGCCAATAATCTGGTCTATGGGGTTTTTTAAAAGAAAAATCTTAGACAAATTAAGTTTAACAGAGTTTAATTGAGCAAAGAACAGTCTGAGAGTCAGGCAACCCCCAAGCCAGAATGCCTTCAGAGAGCCTTTACCACCGCCATGTGATGGAAGATTTATGGACAGAAAAAGGAAAGGACATGCAGGAAAACAGAAGTGAGGTGCAGAAACCGCGGATTGGTTACAGTTCGGCGTTTGTCTTCTTTGAACCCAGTTGGAACAGTTTGCTATCCTTCACTGACTGAAACTTAGTGATTGGCACAAGAGTAGGTTATAGTCTATTTACACCTCCATTTAGGGTATAGTTCACCATGTACAGATAAACCTTTAGGCTGAACTTTAGATATGTAAGGAGGCAGATTTAGACTAAACTTAATTTAACAGACTCTAAGAAATGTAAGGCCAGGCGCCATGTCTCATGCCTGTAATCCCAGCACTTTGGGAGGCCAAGGCAGGCGGATCACGAGGTCAGGAGTTCGAGACCAGTCTGGCCAACATGATGAAACCCCATCTCTACTAAAGATAAAAAAAATTAGCTGGGCGTGGTGGCACGTCCTGTAATCCCAGCTACTTGGGAGGCTGAAGCAGGAGAATTGCTTAAACCTGGGAGGCGGAGGTTGCAGTGAGCTGAGATTGCACTCCAGCCTCGGTGACAGGGAGAGATTCCATCTCAAAAAAAAAAAAAAAGAGTGAAATCATAGGGCTATGGAAAGGGAACCCGTGTGCTGAGTCAGCCTCTGGATAGGGGCCACAGGACTGATTGAGCCAGGAGTCACAGGTCTGGGTGGGGTCCGTCAGTTGCTAGAATGCAAAAGTCTGAAAAACATCTCAAAAGAGCAACCTTAGGTTCCACAATAGCGATGTTATCTATGGGAACAATTGGAGAACTCACAAATCTTGTGACCTCTGGCCACGTGACTCCGGAGCAGTAAGGGATTACAGAAAAACAGGCTAGGGCACATGACTGGTTATCATTTAGCTACATCTACCATTTTAGCAGAATTCAGGCTAATCCTAATCTTGTGGGCTTTCATTAGTCTTACAAAGGCAGTTTCAGTTCCAGAACAAGGAGGGGATCAGTTTTAGGGAGAGACTATGATCATCATTGCTTTAAAGTTAAATTATGGACTAAATTTCTCCCATGGTTAGCTTGCCCTATGCCCAGAAATGAGTGGGGACAGCCAGCCTGTGAGACTAGAAGCAAGGTGGAATCAGCCACGCTACACTTCTTTCACTGTTAGAATCTTTGCAAAGGTGTTTTCACTAGAAGCCTTCTTGTGCTGGCCTAGGGACTCACACTACTCAGAGATGGTGGAGATTGAGCCATGCTAGGTGGTTATCCATGCTGGCCGTCCAAGTGGCTCCTCAGAGGGAGGTTTACAGCATTTACCCCACCCAGCTTCTTTTGATTCCACAGGCAAATTCCCGCTTATTTCTAAGATCCGGTTCATGATCCAGGGAGTCAATACCCACTTTTCTCTGTGCTTTCTTTGACCTAGTAGTTAAAATCATAAGCTCTAGAGGCAGATAAACTTAGGTTTCCTGGTTCTAGAGTTAACTGCCTCTCTAATTTTCAATAAGTTGTTTAATTTCTCTAAGCCTCAGTTTCCACATCTGTAAAACTCATAGTGTATTGTAATAATTAACGTAGACTAGGCGTGGTGGCTCAAACCTGTAATCACAGCACTTTGGGAGGCTGAGGCAGGTGGATCACTTGAGGCCAACAATTCAAGACCAGCCCGGCCAACATGGCGAAACCCTGTCTCTACTAAAAATACAAAAATTAGCTGGGCATGGGCCGGGCGCAGTGGCTCACGCCTGTAATCCCAACACTTTGGGAGGCCGAGGCGGCAGATCACGAGGTCAGGAGATCGAGACCATCCTGGCTAACACAGTGAAACTCTGTCTCTACTAAAAATACAAAAAATGAGCTGGGTGTGGTGGTGGGCACCTGTAGTCCCAGCTACTCGGGAGGCTGAGGCAGGAGAATGGCATGAACCCGGGAGGTGAAGCTTGCAGTGAGACGAGATCATGCCACTGCACTCCAGCCTGGTGACAGAGCGAGACTTCGTCTCAAAAAAAAAAAAAAAAAAGTTAGCCAGGCATGGTGGCATGTGCCTGTAATCTCAGCTACTTGGGAGGCTGAGGCAGGAGAATTGCTTCAATCTGGGAGATGGAGGCTGCAGTGAGCCAAGATTGCACCACTGCACTTTAGCTTGGGTGACAGAGTGAAGTCCCATCTCAAAAAAAAAAAATTATTAAATAATGTATAAATGCAGTCAGCCTCATGCCTGGCATGTGTTACATTTTTAGTAATTGCTACCCACTGTCATTATTGATATTATCATTGCTTTGTTGTATTGTTATTGTGTTCCTTGGTATTTCTTTCCTATAAAGCTCTGAGCAACTTTGGAGAGCAGGGATCATATTTCATTTTTATTAATTTTCCTGAACATCTACCATGATGTCTGGCACATAATAGACACTCCATAATTGTTTGCTGAATGAATGGATCAATGAATCAGCAATTGCTTTGAAGTGTCCCTGCTGGAAAATGTGTTTGTATGCTTTTTTTTTTTTTTTTTTTTTTTTTAAAAAGGAAAAGTATGCAATGGGTTTGGGATAAGGCCAGAGGTTTTTCTTTCATGTAGGTCTGGGACAACACGTTGTCAGCATCCCCGTGAACTTGGAAAGAGAGAACTGGATGACATACCTTCCAGATATATTACATTAGGTGACAGAAAGCCAGCCATGCTTCATTCCTATCCCTATGTGCTTTATAAACAAGTAATCGCTGTAATAACTACCCTGTCCAATGTCTTGCCTTCTCTCTGCTCATGGTCTGTTTCCCTAATTTATCCCCACCACTAAAGCGAGAAGACTGCTCTCAAACTCATGGCTCTGCGGACATGCCAGCATGGTGTTCAGTTCACATTTTGCCTGAGGTGTTACAGCCATGTGGATTCACTTGAACAACAGGAAAGCCAAGCCGATTCCCAAAGGATTCCAGAAATGACTTTTGGAAGCACATTTTAAAAATTCCCAAATGGATGTGCCTGGAGTAAGAAAAGCCTGCAAACAAGTATATCCACCTTCACAGTGAAAATCTCTCCTATCTCAATCGCATTCTTTTAGGGTTGGTGTTTCCAAGTGTCGGGTAAGACCCCCTAAACTATATGTGTATTATCACATCTCTAAACATTTAAGCACAATTCTCTATCTAAAAAATTTCCACATTTTCCATGGAAACCCTCCGGTTTTTCTAAATTCACATGTACTCTTTTTGTTGTGTGTCTGTGACAGAGTCTCGCTCTGTTGCCCAGGCTGGAGTGCAGTGGTGTGATCTCAACTCACTGCAACCTCTGTCTCCCGGGTTCAAGCTACTCTCCTGCCTCAGCCTCCCAAGTAGCTGGCATCACAGGCAGGCACCACCACGCCCAGCTAATTTTTTGCATTTTTAGTAGACACAGAGTTTCACCATGTTGCTCAGGCTGGTCTTGAACTCTTAAGCTTAGGTGATCCGCCAGCCTCGGCCTCCCAAAGTGCTGGGATGACAGGCGTGAGTCACTCATACTCTTTATGGGGTGATGTTCCTACACTGTTACCCTCAGAAAGGAAGTGTATTTGTGCACACACGTGTGTGTGTGAGGTGGGAAGGTAGCACTTACAGATGGATCATCAAAAGATTTCACAGATTCTAGAAGTAGGTCATGTATCTCATGATCTTCATTTTGGAAAGATTTGTTTGGTTCCTGAAAAACCAATCACTTATGCCTATAGGGATATTTGCTCACCAAACACTCATTGAGCACTGCTGTACACAGGACTCTACTAAACATTCTAGAAAATGAAAAAGGCTCTGGATGGGTAAGGGTCCAGTTGTGTACAATTATCCAAAATACAAGAAAAGACAGAAATGATGCTGGTTATAGCGTTTAATAAAGAGTGATTATTTCTGGCTTGAGTGAGCTGGAAAGGCTTCAGAAGGAAGTGAAATTTGAACTCAGTCTTGAAGAATGGGTAGTTTTGTCATTAGTGGAATAGAGGGGATACAGTGGAAGAACATTCCCAGAAGGTGGATCAAGAAAGAACAAAGAACAGAGCTGGAAGGTGACTCAAGGATACACTCAGGCCTGTTTGTTCCAGTAGAGCTTTTACATTGGGAAGTAACAGGAGGAAATTTTGCAAAGTGGACAAGAGTGTCTAAGAAAAGACCAGAATGGCAGTAGTATTAAACAGGACTCATTAGTTTGTAGTGGGTAAAGATAAAACTAATGACTTAGCATCCTTCGGGAAAACAAAACAAAACAAAACAGAAACTCTCAAGCTTTAGGAAAGTAAGGGGAGGGGAGAATCATTTAGCTTGGCACACACTGAGGCAGTTCAAGGTATCAAGAGAACCCTGAGAGAGGGTGTAATAGGGATTCAGTGGCTCTCATACTCCAAACTGCCATCTATTTCTTTTACTTTCTTTCCTTTGCTTATTTGTATTCTCTTCTAATATGCAAGTCTTTGCCTGTAGCCCCACCTTTTTTATTTTGTTTGTTTTATTTTTAATATTTTATTAGTTTATATTTTATTTGAGACAAAGTCTCACTATGTTGCCCAGGCTTGTCTCAAACTCCTGAGCTCAAGCGATCCTCCCACCTTGGCCCCCTAAAGTGCTGTAACTATAAGTCAACTCACCAGACAGCCCCAACTTTATAGTCCTCTGTTATTGTGATTTCAGAGGCGAAATTGCCTCTTGTACAGCTCCAAACAAAAAATACAAGGGCAGGCCGGGTGCGGTGGCTCACGCCTGTAATCCCAGCACTTTGGGAGACTGAGGCGGGTGGATCACCTGAGGTCGGGAGTTCGAGAACAGCCTGACCAACATGGAGAAACCCTGTCTCACTAAAAATACAAAATTAGCCAGGCGTGGTGGCACATGCCTGTAATCCCAGCTACTCGGGAGGCTGAGGCAGGAGAATCGCTTGAACATGGGAGGCAGAGGTTGCAGTGAGCCAAGATTGTGGCATTGCACTCCAGCCTGGGCAACAAGAGCAAAACTTTGTCTCAAAAAAAAAAAAGAAAAAATACAAGGGTGGAGATCTGATTTCTGTGGCTTCAGTCACAGACCACCCTAGTTGAATCACATGACGATGGGAAAGGGGCATTTTGATTGGCCATCCCTGTGTCACATTCCTACTCTGTAAGCCATGAGAAAGCTTTGTGGATAGGCAGGTACAATAACCGCCAGCTTTCATTGCACCATGCTATGAGTTTTATTCTTTCATGAATTAATTCACTCTTTCACATATTCATTTCTTCAGTTTTTTTCTTTTGAAAAAGGGTCTCCTCTGTTGCCCAGGCTAGAGCACAGTGACGCAATATGGCTCACTGCAGCCTTGAACTCCCAGGGTGAAGGGATCCCCCCAATCAGCCTCCTGAATAGCTGGGGCCACAGGAGTGTGCCACCACGCTGGCTAATTTTTGTATTTTTTGTAGAGACAGGGTTTTGCCCTGTTGCCCAGGCCGGTCTCGGACTTTTCAGCTCCTGCCTTGTCCTCCCAAAAAGCTAGGATTACAGGTTTGAGCCGTTACATCCGGCCTGACTTTCATCTTATAGACAATGGAGAATTATTAAAGGATTTTTCATCTAGTAAGTAACAGAGATTGTAGTGGTCTCCAGGGTGCATTAGAATGGAGCCAAGTGACAACCATATAAAAAGTGACAAAGCCTGAGCCAAGGTAGGACAGAGAGGGAAGAGAGGAGGTGACAGATTGGGTACGTGAGAGGTAGGTCATCATATCATGAAATTACCCAATAGCTCTTTCGTCAGTGAAGGTCCCATGTATTGCGTAAGATTACTGCAGCCTTTGCTGAACTCCAAAATTTGACCTCTGCACTGAGTTGTTTTAGGATCCAAAACATTATGTAGCAAGGAATGGAAAGTGTTTTATACAAATACTTTTTTAAATGTCCATAAATGTCTAATGTCTAATGCAGTGTACAGATTCATCATATGTCAGCAAATTAGTGCTGACCTTGTAGCCACAACACCCATCTCCTATCCCCATGCCAGGAATAGGCACAATCCTGGCTGGACTTTACCCAGCAGCGTAAGCGTAAGCTGAAATTCACCACCCCTCGGTATACCCACAATCAAGGATTTTGAGTTGTACTTGAGATGAGGCCAATATGATGGTGGAATTGTTAGGGAAACAGGGACATAGGAGAGCCAGGGTGACATCATTTTCAAATCAATTCCATCTTAAAACTAGTAAGACGCATTCCTTGCCAGTCACGACCCACGGCCGTAAGATGTTTACCACCAAGGAAACAGCTTAATAACGCCTGCAAGGACAAACTCCTGTGACAACAAAATGCCCAGATGTCCCAATATTGCAAAACGATATGTGCTTTTAAGGTGACTATAGTCATGCTTTGATGTACTTACGCACTAAAATGCCAAGGATAACTTTCTTTAAATCAACAAAGTAATAAATGTCATTTTTTCGGCTCACCCGCATGTAGACACAGCTTAGCTTTTACATAGATAAGATCCCTATATAAGAAGAGTTTAAAACAAAGATGGTGCATTCCTCGTCTTGCTTTCTGAGGACATTCTCGCTCTGTAACTGAGTAGCTTTCAGTAAACTATCTCTTCTCACTGTACTCTGCAACTCACTTTGAATTCCTTCCTGCGAGAGATCCATGAACCCTCTCTTGAGGCCTGAATCTGGACCCTTTTTTCCGATTGAAATGTTTTCTCTAAACGTATGCATTTCCTTTATGAATGAAGAAATCCTTCCATAGTTTAAGCCTTAGGAAAGTGAATGTCTCTAAGACAGTTTCCTTCTGTTTTTATTCATGTCATTAGAGAATTACATGATAGGGAGGTGAAGGCTTTCTCCTGAGTTTTCTGCAAAAAGAAAAGTTTTGTTACCACTTGCAATGGTGAAAATCCCACAGTGAATGGGCACACAGTCCCACTAGCTATGTGACTGGGTGAGACACTTCACTGCTCCAGGTTACAAGCATCTGTTATGTAAAGTGAGCATTAGATCATTTCTGAGCAGGTTGACCATATAATTAACTTTCTAGAGTGAAAGTGGCTGCCTTTGAAATTACACCAAGACAAAAGGCATAAACTGGGACTATCCTGGAGAAACTGGAACATTTGGTCATCTCTCTCTAAGAAGCTTTGAAGCTCTAAAACTGTATGGTTCTCAGGTTCATTGTCTGCACCCAAATCCAACCCTTGAGATGGTCTTGATGTTATGAACTTCCCTTTGGGCAGGATATGCTTATTCTGTTTTGGGGAATAGTTCAACTTAACAGAAATGTCCATCTATCCCTTAGCTACAGCAGAGGCAAATGCTTAGACTTGGGTTGCTGCTGGGGAATAGTCAGCTCTGCCATGTCTTATCTGAGTGAAATCCAACTCCAGACATAAGCTTCTCCCACAAGGGTTGATATTCAGGTCCTGAGAGAGAATACTTTTTCTCCACAACTGGGGACCTGGCTGATCATGAGCCAGTTCTAATACTTTGTTGTTCTAGGAGTATGTTCGCCAGGCATGGTGACTCAAGCCTGCAGTCCCAGAACTTTGGGAGGCTGAGGTGGGAGGATTGCTTGAGCCCAGGAGTTTGAGACCAGCCCTACCAACACAGGGAGACCCTGTCTCGACAACAACAACAAACAAACAAAAAGTTATTTAAATACCAAAACTTTTTAAAAAAGTGTTTAAAAAGATTGTAGTGAAGACTGGTGCACATATATCATTGTCTTTCAATTGTGGCAATGACAATAACCATGATCCTTGCTATCAGTTTGGGTCTCATTGAAGGGATTACGGAAGTAGCCTATGAGCAGCTGTCTTTTTTACCTGCATATCGATGGCAGGAGTTGTAATTTTCAATTTAGAGCTAACCTATTTCACTGATTAATATGTTCATTCAGCAAATATTTAATGATTATAAACCATGCATCAAACATTGTGTGGGAGACCCAGAATGAAGTGGGAAATACAAGTGAAATAAGTGGTTAATTGGTGATTACAATACATTATAATTGGTGGAATCGAAATCTCAACAAAACACTAGAAGAACACATATTTTGTGAGATAGTTGATTTCACAAGATAGTTAACCATCTTGTCTTCCACTTCTACTATGCTTTACAACCCAGAGGAGTCGGATTAAGATTGAATTTCTTGTTGGTGGTACTGGATTGACATGCAATGTAGTCACACCAAAGTGACATCATATATGTATAAATCCCCTCTTGCTGGAAAGAATCTCAGTCTCATCCATATTTTGTATCCCTCCTCATGAATTTCATTTATTTTCCTTCTCTGTTTGTTCACACACACAGTCACACATGTGGTGTCTTTCTGGGACACATATTCATCCCTGCCTTCTTCACTGTCTCACACGCTCACTGTCCTGGGTACATTCACATCTCTATCACTCACTCTGTCGAAGTCTCTTCCACACTGAGTTTCTCACTCTTAAATACACGTGACCTCAAGTTTGTAATTTCCTACAGATGCTCTCTGTCCCGGGGGACAAATTCTCTCTCCTTTGAGCACAGGGCCATTCTCCAACAGTCTCACTTTCAAAGGCACACACCCACATCTGCAGGCACTCACGCTTTTGTTGACAGCCCCTCCCACACCTCAGGCGTCTCACTGGTGATCGGAGTAGGGACAGGAGACAGGATGGGTGGAGGAGATACCAGTAAGTCATCCGTCCTCCACCCACATTTTCTTTCTTAATTTGTTTTCTGGAATTTCTTTCTTCCTTTCTGGTAAGCAGGGAGAGAAATTGCTGAGTAGCATCGTAGGACTCTTGGCAAGTGTCGTTGTCGTGCTAAGGATGCATGAAGGGGAGAAGGCATCGCTTAGAGGGATATCACCGGAGGAGGCAGAGAAACATATCACTGTCCCCGAAGAGAAAGACCAGTCTCACTGAAGAGCTGCTCTTCTAAGAATTCTTACCACTGGGACATTTTGTTGACATAAGGCACTGTGTCTCTATGAAACAAAATGGGACTCTAGCAGAGAAAACATATCAAATTACTTGAAAGATTCTTGAGTATTGATTTATATCAGGGGTTGGCAAACATTCTCTAATGGGCCACATAGTAAATATTTTAAGCTTTGAAGGCCATATGATCTCTGCTGCAACTTCTCAACTTGGCCATTATAGGGTGAAAGTAGCCATAGACAATACATAAATCAATGTGTGTGGCTGTGTTCCAATAAAACTTTATTTATATGCTCATTCTTTAGAATGAATAAGTTTTTTGCCATTTACTAGAAGTTTCCATGGAGAGGAACAGTGTGAGTTGATAACCAAATTTTTTGAGGTCTTGCTTAGGCAGGGCTAATAAAAAGTTTTTTAAAAAAACTTTATTTAGGGCAGGCGCAGTGGCTCATGCCTGTAATCCCAGCACTTTGGGAGGCTGAGGCAGGTGGATCCCCTGAGGTCAGGAGTTCACGACCAGCCTGGCCAACATGGCGAAACCCTGTCTCTACTAAAAATACAAAACTTAGCCGGGTGTGGCGGCACATGCCTGTAATCCCAGCTACTTGGGGGGCTGAGGCAAGAGAATTGCTTGAACCTGGGAGGAGGAGATTACAGTGAGCCAAGATTGCTCTACTGTACTCCAGCCTGTGTAACAGAGCAAGACTCTGTCTCAAAAAAAAACAAAACAAAACAAAACAAAAAAAAACAACTTTATTTATAAAAACAGGCAATGGGCTGAATTTGAACCATGGCTCTAATTTGCAGACTCCCGATCTATGTAAATGACATCATGTTTTGCTCTATTTTTTTCTTTTTTTGTGATTATGATTTAACTTGAAAACGACTAGATAACTTTTTCATCAAATTTGGAAGATTTATTTATAATGGTCAGACATAAAAAACTGGATATATACTTTGAGAAAAAATTCCCTTTTGGTGAGCCATGATGAAAGATAAGAGAGATAATTGTCTGACTGGTTCACCCGACACCTGTCATGGCCGCCTCCGAGGGCCGGGGAAGAATGAGTGCCAGGGTTCTGCTGTGGGCTGCCAGGGACACCTTGTGTAACATACCCAGGAGCTCTTTAGGGTCCAGGGAGGCGTAGGCGCCAGTGACAACCAGGACATTTCAGGAGACAGGCTGACATGCCCAGGGATGTGGTGAACGTGGTGTTTGTAGACCTGTCAGGCTGGCGGATCCAGTGAGCTGCAGAGTCGGAGGACAATATTCTCCACCTGACCCAATGCCATGGGGTGAACCTGGAAGGTGCCTGTGAAGCCTTCCTGGCATGCTCCACCTGCCATGTGCATGTGAGCGAAGACCTGGACCTTCTGCCTCCTCCCGAAGAGAGGGAAGACAGCATGCTAGACATGGCCTCCCTCCTCCAGGAGAACTCCCTGCTGGGCTGGCAGATCGTGCTGATGCTGGAGCTGGAAGGGGCAGAATTCAGTCTGCCCTAGAACGCCAGGAACTTCTACGTGGACTGCCACATCCCCAGGCCCCACTGACATGGACAGCCGGAACTTCCCGGATTGTCATGGCCTCAGGGCCAAGACTGAAGGAACAGCCAAGTGTCAGCCGAGCCCAGCTCAGAGCACGTACAGTCCTGAGAGAGACAGGAAGCCTCCAAGAAGGACAAAGTCCCCTGCTTGAGAGAGATCCCATGTCCAAGCTCTGGTGGGGACAGGGCCCCTAGTGGGGTGGTCTTCCCCAAACCCCTGAGAATAGAGTGTGAGTAGGGTAGAGTCAGATTGGAGCTGCAGTAAAACTATGTCATGGGCCTAAAAAAAAAAAAGAAAGAGAGAGAGAGAGATTATTTTCTAGAGTATGTAGTGACTGTATCACACAACAGGAACAGATAAACAGTTTATTCAGTTGTGAGCCATAGCTGGATTTTCATCAGCATCAGGCTGCCGCTTCTTAGGTAGGCAACTCTCTGTAGGATGCTCCTGGTGTAAAAGAATATAATGTACCATGGGAACGAGCCCCAGGACAGAGGAGTTGGGATGTTGGGAGTGGGTGAGACATTGCCAGTGTGCAAAGCAAGATTGAGGAGCAACTGCGGGTCTACTTCTGACTCCAGCAATCGATGGTCCAACTAAGGTTTTTAATTTTTTTTCTGCTCTGGGAAAATTTCATCTGAAAGTATCTGCTTCTTGAGCCAACTAGCTGTAGGGTACACAGATGGACACTAGAGAACAAATGCACTAGAGATACACAATATAGGTAGTTTCAGATTTGCATGTTGTTCCACCCTTCATTAACTTTATTTTGCTCTTGAAATGCTATTTAAGTTTGGTAACCATTTCTTTTTCCTTTTATTGTTTCTTTTTTTGTTTTTTTGAGACGGAGTCTTGCTCTGTCACCCAGGCTGGAGTACAGTGGCACAATCTCGTCTCACTGCAAGCTCAGCCTCCCAGGTTCACGCCATTCTCTTGCTTCAGCCTCCCAAGTAGCTGGTACTGCAGGCGCCCACCACCACGCTCGGCTAATTTTTTGTATTTTTAGTAGAGACAGGGTTTCACCATGTGAGCCAGGATGGTCTCCATTTCCTGACCTCATGATCCGCCCACCTCAGCCTCCCAAAGTGCTGGGATTACAGGCGTGAGCCACTGCGCCCGGCCAAGTTTGGTAACCATTTCTAAATAATAGAATAGAGTGAAGCTCTTTCAATGAATCGGGTAGCTATATGCATCATGAGATATTTAAACAATATGTTGTTAAATAAATGAGAAAAGCAGATTGCACAGAAGCCCTTATAGGAAAGTCTCATATATGTGTGTGTCTGTGTGTACATACTTAGACACACATATGCATTTGCCTAGAAGAAAGTTCATAGAAATACTATACGAATTTTGAACAGTGATCATTTCTGGGCAGCATGGGACTACCAAGGAACTCTACTTTTTCCTTACCCATTTTTCTTTCTCTCTCTTTTCTCTTCCCCTACAGGAACAAGTATTAGAATTATAATTCAAAAGGGCAATGAGGATTTTTCCATTTAAAATATTTATGAAAAATTCAGTAGTTATGACTTCAATTCCAAAAGGAGGAATTATCCATATGCTGAGACTAGGGAGGAGAAAGTCTTACCCTACCGCGTCTTCTTTGCTATTTCTGGATGGGTTATTTGGGGTACCGCACATTTTCCATGATGATTCAAAAAGTGTGTTTTATCAAGCAAAAGGATCACTTTCTCCTTGCAATATACATTAGCTGTGAATGAACAGGTGACTCATCATTTAATTAAGGGGGAAAACAGATTTTGAAAGCAGTGTCCTGTGCAGTTTTAGGCAAATTACTTAAACTTTCTGAAAGCCTGCTTCCTGATTTCTGTAACAGGGTTAATAATACACACCTTCCAAATGTATGAGGATTAAATGACAGTATATGGAAAACACCTAGTCGAGCTTGACATCTGGTAAGTGCTAAAAAAAAAAAGTTACTTTCTTTTCCATTCTCACTTTTTTTTTTCTCCTCCAGCAACAGCTTTCCCAAATGAGAAGAAAAAGCCCCGGGCTATACTGCCATCTTCATAAGTCCAATTGCATATTCTTCCCCACATCCTAAGCCGTTTGCCTTCTCTTTCTTTCTCTGAGAAGGCAAATACCCAGACGGCAAGAATATACTGGAGTAGGAAACAGATGGCAATCCAGTCTGTGATTTGAGTGGCCAATATAATTTTATTTTAAAATGAAACTCTAGAAATAACATTTGAAATAATCCAATTACTCTTGATAATACCATGTTTGAAAAGGAAATTTGAGTCAGGGAGGTCCTATTTTAAATCCTAAATTTGGCTTCCTGCGTGTAGTAGAATTTCCCCATGATTCGCCAGTTTCCCACTGAATCACCACCCCCTCGCCAGGCGCTCCTATACCCAAAAGACTGCCAAGATTTATATAAAGTCCTGTTTCTTTCTATCAATGAAAGATTGCCATTTTGATGCGTGCATATTTCCTGATTCTCAGTTCTTTACACTTCACTGTCTTACGGTGTGCGTTGGCATGTCATACCTCCCTACCAGGGATGATGGGACTTTAATTGTAGACAAAGGTATTACTACCAATTATGTGATGTTTCTTATCAAAGGGGAGCAGTTTCAACCTTAGCACAGCCCAGACTGAACTTAGAAACTTCCCCAATAATCTTTTTCTCCCCTCTGTCTATTTTCTCTTGTGGTGGAATCACATTCCATCATGTCACACAGTCGCGAAGCAGAACATTGTCCTTTATTCCTCCTTTGCTTTTCCCCATGTCCAAACAGTCATCTAGTCCTCTCCATTCCTGCCACCAAGGCCCTAATCCAGGCCTTTATCCTCTCTTATTTGATCATTGCAAGACCAGCTTTCCAACTAGAGTCCTTGCTTCTAGCCTTTTTGACCTCAGATCCATCCTCCATTCATTCTGTAACCAAATGCAAATTTGATGATGACATTTTGTTTGTTTGTTTGTTTATGGGCGCTCATTGGCTCCGCAGGACCTATAGGATAAACTTTAAGTGTTCTAATATAGCATTTAGGGCCCTTTGTAATACATTTCTAGATATATCTCCCGCCATTCTCTACTTCCAGTATTCCATTCCAGAAGCACTAAACTGACTCCAAATCGCTGCATACAGCATGATACCTCATGAATTCAGCTTTGGCTAATGGCTATTTCTTCCTTGCAATACATTTTATCTCCTCATTGACTGATTCTCCTTGTTCTTTAAGACACAGTGTAAGTATGATAGTTCTATGAAGCTTTACCAAACTCTTCTGGATAAACTTTCTAGTTTTGCATGCTTTTTAATATAACTTTTTCATTGCACTTACCAATTTGAATTAACACTATTTATGTACTTGTGTTCCAAATGATTCTGTTAGCTCCTTGAGGGGATATATTGTTTTATTATCGCACTGAAGTGTGTTACAGAGATTGAAAGACTGTAGACTTTAACAGGTACTTGTTGAATAAATGAATTAGTAAAAGAATTAATTCATGGGTAGTCTATTAGTTATTTATTGCTTCATAACAAATTACCGCAAAACTTAAAGAGATAAAACAACAAATATTTATTATCTTGCATAGTTTCTGTGAGTCAGGAATTCAGGAGGAGCTTAGCTGGGTGGTTCTGCTTCAGGGTGTCCCGGGAGGTAGTAGCCAAGCTGTCAACTGGGGTTACAGTAAACTGAGGGTTTGGCTGGACTGGAGCATCCAATTCCAAGCTCACCTGGGTGGCTGTCGGCAGGAGGTTTCAGTTCATTTCCACAGTGGGCACTCATGACACGGCAGCTGGCTTCCCCCCAGTAAGCGATCTAGGAGACAAAGAGAAAGTGCAATCAAGAGCAAGCTGTGGCGTCTCTTATAACTTAATTTCAGAAGTGACGTGTCATCACTTCTGCCGTATTCTCTTGGACACACTGACCCACCCTGGCCCAATATGGAAGGGAGTTACACAGGGTATGAATATCAGAAAGTGGGGATCACTGGGGGTCACGTTGGAGGCTGGTTACTGCAGGCAAGTATTCTCAATGTTCCAAAAATCTTCCTAAGTAAATATTCTCTTTTACCTACTTATAAGGCCATTTCTGCTCATACGAGTTATTCAAAGAATGAACAAGAGTGAATCATGCAGGGTTTGGACAAAGCCTCTCTAATTTCTGGAAGTTGTTTATTTTATATATTTTTTTTTGTAAGACAGTCTCACTCTGATGCCCAGGCTGGAGTGCAGTGCCGCGATCTTGGCTTATGCTGCAGCCTCCCGAGTAGCTGGGACCACAGGTATGCACCATCATGCCTGGCTAATTTTTGCATTTTTTGTAGAGACGGGGCTTTGCCATCTTGGCCAGGCTGGTCTCAAACTCCTGACCTCCAGTGATCTGCCTACCTCAGCCTCCCAAAGTGCTGGGATTACAGGCATGAGCCACCCTACCGGGTCTATTGATTTCATAATTAATGAGGAGAGAGAGAGAGAGAGAATTTTCTTGGTGAGGAAGATTAGAAGAGGGAGAGACATATTTCTATTAGCAGTATTGATTTAGTGGCACTGGATGGGTTGGTCCAACAATGAGGTATTTATTGTACTGGTTCTAAGGGCTCACACTTGATATTTATGCATTTTTGCAATTTATGGATATCTGACATATAATCCAAGAATACCCTGAATGAATGGACAGGCAAGAAATGACCACTGCAACTAGGTTGATTGTTATAATCAGGAAACTGGGCAAGCAATGGAAATAACAACAACAAAAACAGCCCAGCGAGGTTCCTAAATCAATGACGCTCAGCCCAGGGCTAGAAAGGAATTCAGTCAAGCACACAGCCAGGGGATACAGCTTGCAACAGGCTCTGCTGACAGCAGTTCTGCTAGTCCAGCTCCTTTGGCTTACTTGTGTGGTTAAAATATGAATTAGCCTCATTCATATATACCCATAAGGCAAAGGTTTGAAATGGCTTCTTTTTTTTCTGCCTTTTTTTTTTTTTTTTGAGATGGAGTCTCACTCTGTCGCTCAGGCTGGAGTGCAGTGGCGCGATCTCAGCTCACTGCAACCTCTGCCTCCCAGGTTCAAGCAATTCTCTGCCTCAGCCTCCCGAGTAGCTGGGATTACAGGCACCCACCACCACGCCCAGTTAATTTTTGTATTTTTAGTAGACAGGGGGTTTCACCGTCTTGGCCAGAGTGGTCTTGAACTCCTGACCTCATGATCCACCTGCCTCAGCCTCCCAGAGTGCTGGGATTACTGGCATGAGCCACCGCACCCAGCCTGAAATGGCTTCTTAAAGGAAGATGCAGTTGCTCATGGACAATGGCTCCCCATTTCCTACGTTTCCAGCCTAAGCCTTCCTTCCTCCTCTAGACTCTCACTTTCTCTCTAGTCTTAATTCCCCTGTCAGGCTTATCTTTAGCTTTCCAATCCCTTAATAGCTCTTAAATCTCGTCACTCAACAAAGCTATATTGTAGTGAGATATAAAGGCCTTCAATTTGATATGGGTGAACCTTCCCACATCAGAAGGTTTGCATAAATATCTCAAAGTATTTTATCTTTCTGAACAATTCTAGATTTTGGGGAAACAGAAATCTCAGTTCATTTATCAGATGGTTTCCCTCAACTCAAAAACCTCTGGTTATTTTGGAGAAAACGATTCATTTATTCATCTGATTAATTTACGTATTCAGTGACCCAGATTTTTTTTAAAAAATCAGTATTATCTGATAACCACCAATTCAAGAACATTTTAAAAGACTTATAATGATGATTCTTTACAGTAGCTATAAATAGTTGCTTAATATGTGCCTCATTGTCTTCCACCATAACATTCATTTATAAACACTGTGTCGACCAAGGCACTGTTTCTGGTAGGATATAGGAAAACAAAAATGAATAAGGCGTGATTTTTCTTTTATTTATGGAGTATCTCGTTCTTTTCTCCTTCCATGGTCTTTTTAAATATACATTTCTCCTCATTTGCTCACAAGGTAGATCTGAAAAAATGTACCAGAACAAGTATCATTTTAAAATATTAATTTTTAAATCTAGTGTGTTTCTGATGCCTGGAAGAGCCACAGTCTGCAGCTCCACCCCTCATGTCAGTTCTTGTATACTTTCTAGGGGTCGGCTTAGAGGTTGATTTCTCCCTAGCTACACGCGTATTTCCCGTGCCTCACATTTCTAACAAACGGTGGCACTCTCTCCTCCCACAGGAGGAGGATATTTTTCATTCAATTGCTTTCTCTGTTCTTTACTGGCTTCCCTCCACAGGGGAAGTAACTTAGCTGGTTGAAAACTTCGGGATAAGGATGAGTGAGTGTGCAAATCTCCATCTCTGGCTTTCTCTTGTGTTACCAACCACCCACAAGCTACACCTGTTCTGGATTTCTACTTTCTTCAGGCAACAAGCCCAGCCCAGGGAGCACTAATGGTGTAGCATCTCTGTTTCGACTGAGTGGCTAAATGTAATCTGTGATGAGCAGGAGTTGGAAGTCATTTTGCCTTTGGGTCCAAGCCACTTTCTCTGAACCAATATCAGCAACAAGGCTGACATATTGAAACATATTTGATTTCTGTGTCTATTTTTCAATTGGTCCCTAACACTCCAGAGAAGCCCAGGTTCCATTAGATTTTTCGGTTATACACTCTCATTACGTCCCAAGTCTTCATGACTCTCCTTTCACCATTCTTTTTCTTCTCCTTCTGCTATTCTCATTACACACATGTTGCATCTTTTGAAATTGTCCCACAGTTCTTGGATATTCTGTACTGTGTCTTCCTTTTTTTTTTCTTTTTGCAGTTTTTTTTTTTTTTTGCATTTTCATTTTGCAAGTTTCTATTGACATCTTGTTAAGCACACTGATTCTTTCCTCAGCTGTCTCTAGTCTACTGATGAGCCCTAAGCTCACTGATTCTTTCCTCAGCTGTCTCTAGTCTACTGATGAGCCCTAAGCTCACTGATTCTTTCCTCAGCTGTCTCTAATCTACTAATGAGCCCATGAAATGCATTCTTTTTTTTTTTTTTGAGATGGAGTTTCGCTCTTGTTGCCCAGGCTGGAGTGCAATGGCACGATCTCGGCTCACTGCAACCTCCACCTCCCGGGTTCAAGCTATTCTCCTGCCTCAGCCTCCTGAGTAGCTGGGATTACAGGTATGTACCACCACACCTGGCTAATTTTTGTATTTTTGGTAGAGATGAGGTTTCACCATGTTGACCAGGCTGGTCTCGAGCTCCTGACCTCAGGTGATCCACCTACCTTGACCTCCCAAAGTGCTGGGATTACAGGCATGAGCCACCACACCTGGCGAAATGCATTCTTTATTTCCATTACACTTTTTGATTTGTGGCATTTCCTTTGGATTCTTTCTTAGAGTTTTCATTTTTCTGCTTACAGGTTACCTCGCTTTCTGCATGTTGTCCACTTTTTCTATTCAAGCCTTTAGCATATTAATCATAGTTATTTTACATTTCCAGTCAGATGATTCCAGAATGTCTCCCATATTGAATCTGGTCTGATGCTTGCATTGCCTCTTCAGATTGTTTTTTGCCTTTCAGCATACCTTGAAATTTGTTGTTGCAAGCTGGACATAATACACCTGGTAAGAGGAACAGAGGTAATGTGAGGGTTTGTGTTTTCATGCTTTTCTGGCTAGAGTTAGTCTATGCATATTGTTTCTTTAGCTCTGGTGTCAGAAGCTAAAATATCTTCCAGTGTCATTGTTTTTGTCTCCTCTGCTGGCTTTGGGTTTTTCTAGAGACTCTTTAAATAGAGTTTGAGGCTTCCAGTTATTTTAGCTGTATTCCTCTGTTATTACACTAAAGCCCTATTGATATGGTGGTAGGGTGAGGAGGATGGAAAATATTTTGTAGTCTTATGATTAGATCTCAGTGTTTTGGGGAGTCTGAGTTGGCTATTTTCTTTCCCCTATGTGGAAGTCTACAATGTACTAGAGTTGAATATTTCCCTTGTTATAGGTTGGTTAAGCTTTGGTAAAAACTCCAGTCAGAGGCTCTGGTAAAATAGTTTTCCTTTCGCTGGGCATGGTGGCTCACGCCTATAATCCCAGCACTTTGGGAGGCTGAGGCGGGCAGATCACGAGGTTGGGAGTTTGAGACCAGCCTGGCCAATACGGTGAAACCCCGTCTTTACTGAAAATACAAAAATTAGCCGGGCGTGGTAGCATGTGCCTGTATTCCCAGCTACTCGGGAGGCTGAGGCAGGAAAATCGCTTCAACCTGGGAGGTGGAGGTTGCAGTGAGCCGAGATGGCTCCACTACACTCCAGCCTGGGCAACAGAGTGAGACTCTGACTCAAAAAAAAAGAAAAAGAAAAAGAAAAGAAAAGAAAATAGTTTTCCTTTCAGGGTAGTCCCCTTTTTCAGGAGAACAGAGGTGTCTGGTCATATTTCAAAATGGCCCCTCTTCTTGCCCTGCCAGAACTAGGAGAGGACTTCTTTTCAGATCATCACCGCAAGAACCTGGCAGAGCTCCTGGAGATAAACCTCACAGAAGTGTGAGGGCTCCTTAAGACTGGGCCCCCTGGAAGCTTTAGGCCTCAAGTTAATCTACACTGAGCACCCACCAATTCATTAATCACAGTTTTAAGTGTTCCTGCCATATTAGGACTAGCTGTGGGGATTTGGCTGGAAAGCTGTGATTCTCTGTATCCACCTGTCTGTCTTTCTGGCTTTCAGGGCAGCAGTTTGCCCTGTTGCCTCAATTCTCTGATGGATCTAAGAAGAGTTGTTGATTTTAGTTTACTCAGCATTTTTTTTCTCATTAGGAGGTTGGAAATAATGACTCCTAAGCTTCTTACATTTGGGAACAGAAACTGGAATTTCATTCAAGTTATGGTACTTTAACTTCTTTTGTGCTTCATTTTCTTCATCTATAAAATGAGGATAACTGTAATATCTAACTCACAGGATTGATGTGATGCTTTAATCAGTTAAGTGATGTACAGTGATTGGAATGGACCTTGGCATGTAGTAAATTCACAATGAGTATTATTACTAAGAGGCACCAGGGCAGGGGCCAGATCTGTCTTGTTCATCACCGCTCCCCAGTGCATAGCAGGCCATGACTCAATGATCTGAAAGCCTGGCTAAAATATCAGTAGTCTCTGTCATATCACAGACTTTCTCTGGCTTGTAGAATTTTGGCACTCTACTCAAGTTTGTGGTCCTTTCACTCTGAATCACAAGCATGTGGGGGTGATTCCCTGATTGAGGACAGGGGCATCTTAGCTACTTTTTGTGTATGTTCATTAGGGATAAGGGACTCACAAGTGACTAAAGAGACTTACATTGTGATATCATCTTATATTTCTCATGAATCCAATAGAATCTACGATACAGGTCTGAATCGGCTGTCAACCCACTGCATAGGATGATGGCTTCCATCATCAACTCTGTCGTAAGTCCCTCTGGGATCTTTGGTTGATCTTTTTATCTTGCTGGTGTCTTATTTATCACCCGTAAAAAAGCAACATCACATCCTTCTTATGTGAATGTCTTGCCAGTCTAGGACATCATGGACATGACAGAGAACAAATCTAGAATTTCTTATCTGAATAAATTTGACCATGTCAGTGAGAGCACTTTATGACAGAGGAAACTGGGTAATCTCACAATTTCAATACCAATTATATAGTTTTGGCTTTACTTCATCTAGTGGTTAAAATCAGAAGTATTTATTTATTTTTCAATTTTATTTATTTTTATTGATATGTAATAGACGTACATATTTTCAGGGTACAGTGATAATTTAATACATCCATGTAATTTGCACAGATCAAACCAATGTACTTGAGATATCCATCACCCTAAGTATTTGTCTTCTCTTTCTGCAAGAAACGTTCCAATTATTCTTTTCTAGCTATTTTGAAATATGCACTAGATCATTGTCAACTACAGCCACCTACTCATCTAACAATCGCTAGGTCTTATTTCTTCTGTAGAACTCTGTATCTGTACTCATTCATCAACCTCTCCAATCAGCAGTATTTAAATTTAAATTGGGTCTTTGCTTCTTCTCCTCTCCTTCCTTAGTTTTGTTCTAGTTTCTTTAACAACTTATTTTCTCTCAGTCTTATGTCATCCAGTCTCCTCTATAAATGGAGGAGTCTTTTTTTTTTTTTTTTTTTTTTTTAAGACAGTCTCGCTCTGTTGCCCAGGCTGGAGTGCGGTGGCGCCATCTCGGCTCACTGCAACCTCCACCTCCCGGGATCATGCCTTTCTCCTGCCTTAGCCTCCCAAGTAGCTGAGACTACAGGTGCCCACCACCACGCCCGGCTAATTTTTTTTGTATTTTTAATAGAGACGGGGTTTCACCGTGTTGGACAGGCTGGTCTCGATCTCCTGACCTTGTGATCTGCCCACCTTGGCCTCCCAAAGTGCTGGGATTATAGGCGTGAGCCACCACGCCCAGCATCTTCTATAACAAAGTCATCCACCTTCTATAAATGGAAAGAGTTGTCTGAAGTTACAGATTTTTGGCTTTGCAACTGTTGGCCTTTTATTGGGATGCTTTCAAAATGGCAGACAAAATAAATGAACAAACACAATTTATGCTTTTTTTAAAGACAGATTTTGCTCCTGTCAATTAACAAAACAAAATAAAAGAAAAACAAACTTCTACCCATAGAGGGTAGGAAAGGTTGGCTACAAGAAAAATAATTAGCACCTGCCAGACGTGGTGGCTCACGCCTGTAATCCTAGCACTTTGGGAGATCAAGCAGGCGGATTGCAAAGTCAGGAGTTCGAGGCCAGCCTGGCCAATATGGTGAAACCCTGTCTCTACTAAAAATACAAAAATTAGCCAGGCGTGGTGGCGCGTGCCTGTAGTCCCAGCTACTTGAGAGGCTGAGGCAGAAGAATTGCTTGAACCCAGGAGGCGGAGGTTGCAGTGAGCCAAGATTGCACCACTGTACTACAGCCTGGGAGACAGAGCAAGACTCCGTCTCAAAAAAAAAAAAAAGAAGAAGAAGAAAAAGGAAAAGAATTAGCACTTATTCAGCATTTTATTCCATTTTCCTAATCTTACTGTTACTTATTCTAGAAACTAAGGTGGTTTACAAAATCTTATAAACTTCAGTAATATCTCATGCAGTAATATTTCACGGAGGAAAATTAAAAAGAGGAAAGAGGAAAGAAGCAAGAGTGTAACATGGAGGTTAAGACACAAAAGTAATCAATCAACAAGGGCCACAGATTGGCTCTAAAGTTTCCAGTAGTAACTCCTAAAAGGAGAGCCTGATTAATCACAAACTTCATAACTAATAATCAGAAGAAAACAAATCAAATACTCTGAAGAAGCACAGCCATTACAAACATTCCTAAGAGACTGGAATGAGACGTCTGCCCAGCATTATCCTAAAGATCGTCTGATGTGATATAGCAAATCCTACCTGCAGCATCGTTCTTAGCATCAGTGTGTTGATGCAGGCCACAGAACTCTCTTTTGCTACACCTCGCTCCCACTGGTGGTCTCACATGAACTAAAATTCAGTTAGTGCAATTCAGGCCAAGGTGATACAGCTCAGAATCCTTATCTTTTGGCAACCCTGCCTCCGTAAAGGGGTGAATTTCAGAGTAACCAGAGAAACGATTAAGTGTATAGTCTTTTTCTTTTTCTTTTTTTTTTTTTTTTTTTTTTTGAGACAGAGTCTTGCTCTGTCGCTCAGGCTGGAGTGCAGTGGCTTGATCTTGGCTCACTGCAACTTCCACCTCCCGGGTTCAAGCGATTCTCCTGCCTCAGCCTCCCAAGTAGCTGGGACTACAGGTGCACACCACCATGCCCAGCTAATTTTTGTATTTTTAATAGAGATGGGGTTTCACCATATTGGCCAGGCTGGTCTCAAACTCCTGACCTTGTGATCTACCTGCCTCAGCCTCCCAAAGTGCTGGGATTACAGGAGTGAGCCACTGTGCCCAGCCGCGTATAGTATTAAAACTACATACCTATCCTGAACATTGCTTCTCTCCATGGTTGTTTATAGATGTTGTGTGAGCTGAGATCTCTCAGGAGTGGGTTGAAATCAATGATGCAGTACCTAGTGACTAGTGACAATACAGTTGTCTCTGTACTCCTCACCTTATGCATATGTCTGTTGCCACCACCCCTGTGGAGAGCCACCTCTTCACACTTACTCTATTTCATTGGCTTTCTTGTGGGCATCTCTGCCTCCAACCTGTCTCACATACTCCTCCCGATGAGCCTCACAAAACTTCCCTTGATCAAGCCACTTCCTGTTTATAGTGCTTAAGTAGTTTCCCTATTGCTTGAATAATAAAACGCATCAATCTTATCTTAGTATTTAAGACCTCACCATTACAAACGTATCTATTGCATCTCCCTGCACAAATGTTTGAATCCTCTGAGAATAAATACCACTGTTGGAAGTTTTCTTTGCGTCACAGTGTTACTCATTCCCTCTTATGCTATCATGGCCTACAGAAAACATACCATGCCTTCAAATCTCATCTTAAAATACCAGCTCCTCAGGCCGGGCACGGTGGCTCACGCCTGTAATCCCAGCAATTTGGCAGGCCGAGGCAGGTGGATCACGAGGTCAGGAGTTCAAGGCCAGCCTGACCAAGATGGTGAAACCCCGTCTCTACTAAAAATGCAAAAATTAGCCGGGCGCGGTGGCCGGCGCCTGTAATTTCAGCTACTCGGGAGGCTGAGGCAGGAGAATCACTTGAACCCAGGTGGCAGAGCTTGCAGTGAGCCGAGACTGCACCACTGCACTCCAGCCTGGGCAATAGGGTGAGGCTCCGTCTCAAAAAAAAAAAAAAAAGCACCACCTACTCTATGGTATCTTCTGGATCCTGCTTCATGCTTTGCCCTCTGCATTCTTGTGTAGGGTGCACCTCTCAAGTGCTGATCTCACTCCAGTTTTCCTTTCATTTCAAGAGGTCTTTCCAAGTGCACTGTGCTCCAGCCACACTGGCTTACTTCCATCTACAGGAACACCGTGCTCCTTTGTGCCTTGGAGCCTTTGATCACTCTCCTCTCTCTCCTGCCAGGCAGGAGCTGTCTCAGTCCTTGAGGGATACCACACATAGGCCTCCTTTAATAAAGCTCATAGAAGCAGATGTCCCTCTTCATTCTTCGTCTTCACCCTGTGTGACTCTTTTCCTAATGTGTAATTCAAGATGTCATTTGTTTGCCTACTTATCACGTCTTTCTCCTATAGATTGTGAATATCGAAAGGTAGGCTTGGGAGAAAGTTTTGTTCACTGAATGAATAACAGATATCATGCATGCTATTATATTAAAATGTTGAAACTATTTTGTTTATTTTGTTCTGTTTTGTTTTGTTCTGAGACAGAGTCCCACTCTGTCGCCCAGGCTGGAGTGCAGTGGCGCGATCTCGGCTCACTGCAAGCTCCGCCTCCCGGGTTCACGCCATTCTCCTGCCTCAGCCTCCCGAGTAGCTGGGACTACAGGCGCCCGCCACCACACCCGGCTCATTTTTTTGTATTTTTAGTAGAAACAGAGTTTCACCATATTAGCCAGGAGGGTCTCGATCTCCTGACCTAGTGATCCGCCCACCTCGGCCTTCCAAAGTGTTGGGATTACAGGCGTGAAGCCACCGTGCCCGGCTGAAATTGTTTTTGTTAAGCATCACAACTCCTCTGTGCCTAGCACAGTATGACAGAAGATGACTGGTAAAGATGATTGTTGAATTTTGTTGACTGTGTGACTTGTTCCCCTTCATGATTTGTAAAACTCTTGAGGACAGCAGTGGTACTTTAAAAAAAAAAAAAAGTTTTATTTTGAGACAGGATCTTGTTCTGTCACCCAGGCTGGAGCGCAGTGGTGTGATCATGGCTCACTGCAACCTTGAACTCCGGGGCTCAACAATCCTTCTGCCTCAGCCTTCCGAAAAGGTAGGACTACAGGTGCACACCACTGCACCCAGCTGATTTTTAATTTTTTTAGAGATGGGGGGTCTCACTATGTTGCCAGGGCTGGTCTCAAGCTCCTGCCCTCAAACAGTACTCCCTCCTGGGCCTTCTAAAGTTGAGATTACAGGTGTGAGCCACTGCACCCACCCAGTAGTACTTTTTTTCTTTTTGAGATGGAGTTTCTCTCTTTGTTGCCCAGGCTGGAGTGCAGTGTGGCATGATCTCGGCTCACTGCAACCTCTGCCTCCTGGGTTCAAGTGATTCTCCTGTCTCAGCCTGCCGAGTAGCTGGGATTATAGGTGGCCACCACCACGCCCTGCTAATTTTTTTTTTTTTTTTTTTTTGTATTTTTAGTAGAGACGGGGTTTCACCATGTTGGCCAGGCTGGTCTCGAACTCCTGACCTCAGGTGATCAGCCCGCCTCGGCCTCCCAAAGTGCTGGGATTACAGGTGTGAGTCACTGCGCCTGGTCCCCAGTGGTACTTTTTATGCTGTTCTATATAACACGACTTTCACAAAATGGCACACATTATAGTGCATATTATTTTTATACAATCAATGGATAGAACATGGGATTACGGAAGACACTTAGCTTTTATTTCTTCCGAGAAACTAGTAGATCAAATACATATAATTGAAATTATGATATTTTAGGACAGATTATCATAGTGAGTAATTATACTATCACATATAATTAAAGCAACAAATTATAATGCACTATAAATAATAGGCATGTTTATAGAACACTGTATATATTTTTGGCAATTACTTTAGTTTGCAATGCTGTCAGACCAGTCATCCTCATTTACTTCTAAAAGGAGCATGTTGCCATTTCTACTCTCTCTTTTCTGGGATCCAGAGAGTATTATACTTATTGGCTATATATATCATACCCACAAAAGTGTTTCTATAAAAGGTGTTATTTTGGTTATTGCAAGGTCCAAATTTGAACAGCAGCATGGTTAGTAGATCAGTAAAATGATGTATTGGAAAGAGCTTTTCCTTCAGCTTATAACTGAAGTAGCTTTAAGTTGTGGCTTCACAAAAGACACGTTTCGTTTTTGTTTTTTGGGGGAAACGTACAATTTTGTTACAAGCATAGATCGCATAGTGGTCAAGTCAGGGCTTTTAAGGTATGGATCATGCAAATAACACATTGTACCCATCAACTAATTTCTCATAATCCTCCCCCTTCCACCCCTTCACCCTTCTGAGTCTCCATCGTCTGTCATTCCACTCTCTACATGCATGTGTACACATTTTTTTAGCACCCACTTAGAGTGAGAACAGGTGATGTGTTACTTTCTGTGCCTGACTTGTTTCACTTAAGACAATGACCTCCAGTCCCTCCATGTTGTTGCAAAATACATGATTCCATTCTTTTTTATGGCTCGATAGCATTCCATTGTATGCTATCCAGCCAGCCATATGTGGTATATATACCACATTTTCTTTATCCATTCATCTGCTGATGGACATTTATTGTAAATAGTGCTGTGATAAACAAGGGAATGCAGATATCTCCTCCATATACAGAATTCCTTTATTTTGTATGTATGTCCAGCAGTGGGATGTATGAATCACTTGGTAGTTCTATTTTGAGTTTTTTGAGGAACCTCCATACTGTTTTACCATAATGGCTGTACTAATTTACATTCCCACTGACAGTGTATAAGAGTTCTTGTTTCTCCACGTCCTCATTGGCATTTGATATTTTTTGTCTTTTTGATAATAGCCATTTTAACTGGGGTGAGATGATATCTTATTGCGGTTTTGATTTGCATTTCTCTTAGTAATGATATTGAGCATTTATTCACATACTTGTTGGTCATTTCTATGTCTTCTTTTAAGAAATGTCTATTCAAATCCTTTGTTCACTTTTTATTTTTCTATTGTTTTTATTTTTAATTTTTATTTCAGTAGTTTTTGGAGGTACAGGTGGTTTTTTATTACACTGATAAGTTCTTTTAGTGGTGGTTTCTGAGATTTTAGCGCACCAGTCATCCAAGCAGTGTACAGTGCACCCCATATGTAGTCTTTTATCCCTCACCCCTCCCAACCTTTCCCCAGAGCCCCCAAAGTTCATTATGTGATTCTTATTCCTTTGCAGCCTCACAGCTTAGCTCCCACTTATAGGTGAGAACATACAATATTTAGTTTTCCATTCCTGAGTTACTTCTCTTAGAATGATGGCCTCCAACTCCATCCAAGTTGCTGCAAAAGATATTATTTTACTCCTTTTAATGGCTGAGTAGTATTCCATCATGTATATAAACCACATTTTCTTTATTCATTGGTTGATGGGCACTTAGGCTGGTTCCACATCTTTGCAATTGCAAATTGCGCTGCTATAAACATGCATGTGCAAGTGTCGTTTCCATACAATGAATTCTTTTCCTTTGGGTACATACCCAGTAGTGGGATTTTAGATCGAAGGGTAGTTCTACTTTTAGTTCTTTAAGGAATCTCTATACTGTTTTCCATAGTGGTTGTACTAACTTACATTCCCACCATCACTGTTCCCTTTTCCTTTTTTTCTTTTCTTTTTTTTTTTTTTTTTGAGACAGAGTTTCAGTCTTGTTGCCCAGGCTGGAGTGCAGTGGGCGACTCGGCTCACTGTAACCTCCACCTCCCAGGTTCAAGTGATTCTCCTGCCTCAGCCTGCTGAGTAGCTGGGATTACGGGCACCTGTCACCACATCCAGCTAATTTTTTGTATGTTTAGTAAAGACAGGGTTTCGCCATGTTGGTCAGGCTGGTCTCGAACTCCTGACCTCAGGTGATCCGCCCACCTCGGCCTCCCAAAGTGCTGGGATTACAGGTGTGAGCCACCGCGCCCGGCCTAAGTGTTCCCTTTTCACCACATCCGTGTCAACATCTATAATAGACAACTTTTGACCCCTAGAAAATAACCTGGCTCTTTTCAACCACATTTCCCTTCTCCGTCTCTCTTAAGGTTGTAGAGAAGACTACAATAATAAATTATGAGGAAAACTTCAAAATAGGAAAATAAATTATGATTTTCTAACAATCTTCCCAATAATCAGAAACAAACCAATTTATATGGCTTCAGAAGTAACTCAATTATGTGCATGTTCATTTCTCACCTGAAGACATAGTTATTATCTGCTTAGGTCTTTTTACTCAAATCTTGCCTCTGGCAATAAGTTTAGCCTAATACCTCCACTTTAAAGCAAATAATTCGAGGTTTTTTTTTTTTCTTTTTTTCTTTTTTGAGTTGGAATCTTGCTCTTGTCACCCAGGCTGGAGTGAAATGGCCCAATCTCAGCTCACTGCAACCTCTGCCTCCTGCGTTGAAGTAATTCTCCTGCCTCAGCCTCCCAAGTAGCTGGGATTACAGGCACCTGCCACCATACCTGGCCAATTTTTTGTATTTTTAGTAGAGATGGGGTTTCACCATGTTGGCCAGGCTGGTCTCAAACTCCTGACCTCAGGTGATCCACCCACCTCGGCCTCCCAAAGTGCTGGGATTACAGGCATGAGCCATCATGCCTGGCCAAATAATTCTATTATTAGATAAAAAAATCAACTCCTCTGTTTTCATGTCTAGTGGACTCCATTCTTAGCCCATCAAATGCACATGGAGCAATGGTTTAATCTGCAAACTAAAAATCTGCTTGATTTAAAAAAAATAACTTTTTGTGATATGACCCTTATTCAAAAGAGTCTGCAAATATCAGATGTGTGGTTCAAGCTCTAGTCAAGTGAAGTGAGTAATTTTCAGTCACTTGTCCAGCAGTTGAGCCAGGAGATAGTAAATATTTATAGGTTTATCCTGGGGTGCTGGCTAACGGAGTGCCTGCACTGCCTTATAGAGCAAATAAACAAGGATCTTCTGCAATGTTTAAACCCATCCAGTATTTCTCAGCCAGCTTCTCTCTTTCCTCTTCACAATGATTATATACCACTCATTTCCAACCACATTTTGATTGTCCTGCTGTTAAATTATAACAATTAATTTACAGGGAACAAGGATTGTTTTCTTTTTCTCTCGACCACATGTTTAGATTAGATGAGCCAATGTGTTTATACCATTTTTTGCTCCTTACTTTGCTTATTTCATCTCAATAGGTCACCACAATGTTTGCTTTTGTTCATTAAGCTTTTTGAACATCATGCAAAACATTGTAACAGACAAGAATTTAAACAGTAGAATACATAAACTGATCAAGTCATTTCATCTGAGATCAAATATCTAGCTTTCAAGAGGCTTGAATTTGAGAGACAATGGATTTTATGAGATTCTGAGAACTCACAGAGTTTAACTTCCTGTTTAAATACTTCATTGATTATGTTAATAAAATCGTGTCTGTTGCAAGGATATTATAACCATGTGTCTTGTTTGTTTATTTTATTTTTTTAAAGTTTATGTGTGAGTCTTCAATACTAATCCTACAATTTTACAGCTGGGAGTGATCTAAGAATTCATCTTTCTAGCCCAAACTTCTTATTTTACAGATAAGGAAACCAAGGTTCTGAGAGGTTGTAAGGGCCATAACCTGGACTTAGAGACTGTAAGTGACAATGTGGTATGTTTTTCCAAGATGAGCCTCTTAGCTTTTCTGATAATATTTAAGTCTTTGGCCTCATGAGCACTGGATTCATCATTTCAAAATAATGGGGGATGGAGAGGAAATGTTATTAATATATACTTTTAAAAATCCCTAAAGCATGGTGTTTAACCTTCTTTTGGTCATAAATTGCTTTGAGAATCTGTTGAAAACTCAAACCCTCTTGATTAAAAAAAACTCACATACACTCAGAAATTCACAATCAATTTTATAGAATCCATAGACTCCTGAACCCTTAATTCTAGATTCATTTATGTGTTAACAAACATTTATCAGAACAATGGTTGCCTAATTATATTTCTATATTTCAATCAATTTAGATAATCAATCACAGTTGAAATAATGTGGTTATTCAATAAATGATATGATTTATTTATACATAAAGATGTATGAATACTATGAAGATGATTATAATTGTTGTAAAGTAAAATAACTGACTTACAATAAGAGTAAAATTAACACACACTGCAAAATATTGTTTTTGATTCCTATTATATCACTGTCAAAAATAATGCAACTCTTCCTATCAATTTCTTCCTTTTTTTTTTTTTTTTGAGACAGAGTCTTGCTTTGTCACCCAGGTTGGAGTGCAGTGTCGCGATCTTGGCTCACTGCAACTACCGCCTCCTGGGTTCAAGCGATTCTCTTGCTTCAGCCTCCCGAGTAGCTGGGATTACAAGTGCACACCACCATGCCCAGCTAAGTTTTTGTATTTTTAGTAGAGACGGGGTCTCATCATGTTGGCCAGGCTGATCTTGAACTCCTGACCTCAAGTGATCCACATACCTCGGCCTCCCAAAGTGTTGGGATTACAGGCGTGAGCCACCACACCCAGCCAATTTCTTTTCTTTTCATTTATTTATTTAGTTAGTTAGTTAGTTTTTGAGACAGAGCCGCATTCATCCCCCCAGGCTGGAGTGCAGTGGCGCTACCTCGGTTCACTGCCACCTCCTCCTCCTGGGTTCAAGTGACTCTCCTGCCTCACCTACCTGTGTAGCTGGAATCACAGGCATGCACCACTGGCTAATTTTTGCGTTTTTAGTAGAGACAGGGTTTTACCATGTTGGCCAGGGTGGTCTTGAACTCCTGACCTCAAGTGGTCTGTCCACGTTGGCCTCTCAAAGTGCTGGGATTACAGGCCACTGCGCCTGGCCCTCTTTCTTATCAATTTGAATTCATTCATGTAAACGGGTTTTGTTTGACATAATGGGATGCTTTATAGATAAGACAGAATATAGATTCAGGAGATTCCCTTCCATGTATCTGAGAAATTTCAATAGCAAATGCTGCTCCTAGGCACTTAGGTATAGGAGTGCAACCGTAGAGCATAGTAAGGTGTCATCTGCTCTCCAGTGGCTAAAATGAAGTTGTTACCACGTTGTGAGGAGACTTCTTTTGAGGTTGGGAGGTTGGCTTGAATTTTTCATAGTAAGGCTATTTCTATCAAGTTTGCATTGATCAAATATTCGTGCTACAAATATCAGCTGTGGTATTGGTATTCTGAGGGCAGTTATGAGGGAAAACGTTTACACTTAAAGATAGGAAGAGAGGGCCAGGCACAGTGGCTCATGCCTGTAATCTCAGCACTTTGGGAGGCTGAGGTGGGCAGATCATCTGAGGTCAGGAGTTCAAGACTAGCCTGGCCAACATGGTGAAACCCCATCTCTACTAAAAATACAAAAAATTAGCCGGGTGCCGTCATGGGTGCCTGTAATCCCAGCTATGCAGGAGGCTGAGGCAGAAGAATCACTTGAACAGGAGGTGAAAATTGCAGTGAGCCGAGATGTGCCACTGCACTCCAGCCCGGATGACAGGAGCGAGACTCTGTCTCAAAAAAAACAAAAAACAAAAAACAGGAAGAGAGGCCTTAGGTTAAAAGGACCTAAATTAGCAGTCTCTAATCCAGCTGCTCCTGATGGTCATCCCATCAAGATGCCAAAGAAGAGGGACAAATTAGCATACCAAAAAATACAATTCTGAATGGAATTGCTACCTGAAGAATCAACCATATTAAATTAATTGAAAAATGCCTAATTAAAAAACATGCATTTGGGAGGCCGAGGTGGGTGGATCACTTGAAGCCAGGAGTTTGGGACCAGCCTGGCCAACACGGCAAAACCCCATCTCTACTAAAAATGCAAAAAATTAGCTGTTTAGCAGCTGCATGCTTTTTATTTTTTATTTTTATTTATTTATTTTTTTGGAGACAGAGTCTCGCTCTATCACCCAGGCTGGAGTGCGGTGGCGTCTCAGCTTACTGCAACCTCCACCTCCCGGGTACAAGCAATTCTTGTGCCTCAGCCTCCACACGCCTGTAGTCCCAAGCTACTTAGGAGGCTGAGGCATGAGAATTGCTTGTACCCGGGAGGTGGGGGTTGCAGTGAGCTGAGATGCCACCGCACTCCAGCCTGGGTGATAGAGCGAGACTCTGTCTCCAAAAAAATAAATAAATAAAAATAAAAAATAAAAAGCATGCAGATGCTAGAGTTATTCCACCAAAACAGACCAAGACTGATTGCCTGAAATTAGGTCGGGAAACATTTTATTTCTCTTTTTTAAAAACAATTAATTATTTTTTTAAATGGACACATTGTAATTATGCACATTTATGAAGTACAACTTGATGTTTTGATACATATATATTATGTATAATGATCAAATTAGGGTACTTAGTACGTTCATCATCTCATGCATTTATCATTCCTTTTTTCGTGAGAACATTCAAAAGCCTCTCTTCTAGCTATCTGGTAATATGCTGTCTCTTCTCTCAGTTCCTTTCTTTCTCCCTACACCCAAACAGGGACTCTCAGAGGAGAAGTAGGCAGAAAGATGAAGGCAGGGGAGATATCAGTGCATTAGGTTGCCTTACAGGGGAAGGCCTCCCATGCAAAGAGCAAGAAGTAGATGAAGGAAAATGTTGACGGATGTTCTTGTTGAGAATTATGGTTGTTAAGTACTTGGTGTTCTCTCAGGTCACCAGGCAACGTAATAGAAGATCCGCTGTCATTCCAGCTGAATGAAAGTTTTTCAGAGTTTGGAGTTGGTTGAGAGATTCTCACGTCAACCCACCTTCCCTCAAAATATAGGAAAAGTGGATTCCACCAGAATCAACATGAATAGAATGAGCCGAGAGTAATCCAGGCAGTCCATTGACTTTG
This sequence comes from Homo sapiens, assembly GCF_000001405.40. Lineage (NCBI taxonomy): Eukaryota > Metazoa > Chordata > Mammalia > Primates > Hominidae > Homo > Homo sapiens. The sequence continues at coordinate 240,676,262 of NC_000001.11, forward strand.
AAATGGTGAGATCTTTTGTCATTCTAGAGTTAAAGGGGATAAAACAGGGGGGATATGTGATAAAATGCTATAGGGTCAGGGACCAGAATTATTAGCGTCTCTCTTTTTTTTTTTTCTTTCTTTTTTTTTTTTTTTTGAGACCGAGTCTCACTCTGTCGCCCAAGCTGGAGTGCAGTGGCACAATCTCGGCTCACTGCAACCTCCGCCTCCTGGGTTCAAGTGATTCTCCTGTCTCGCCCTCCCGAGTAGCTGGGACTACAGGCACGTGCCACTGCACCCAGCTGATTTTTTAAAATTTTTAGCAGAGACGGGGTTTCACCGTGTTAGCCAGGATGGTCTTGATCTCCTGACCTCGTGATCCGCCTGCCTCGGCCTCCCAAAGTGCTGGAATTACAGGCATGAGCCACCGCGCCTGGCAACTATTAGCATCTTAAGGAATTTGATTAAGAGGTGACCTCGGAACAGGCCTTACTCTAGGTCCAGGAAAAGTTTTCGGAAAACTGCTGACAGTTTGGCAGAATGTAAGAAGATACAACCTGTATGTAACAGAAGTAGAAAGCCATAAGGAGAGAGTGATTTAAAATGAGCAGTTGCAGAATAAGATTAAAAAGCTAGGTGAGAGTACTAAGAGAGACAAGAAACTGAAGGTCCAATATTGGATTGAAATTTACATTGCAGAGAGAAAGACAGAAATGAGACTCCAGAGAAACAAATCAATGATGCAGAGGACAAGCTTTTCCCTTCCATGAAGCAGAGAAAAATAAAATGTATGAAAATGATGAAAGAGAAGACGTTGTGAGACAGAGTACAGGGAGATAGCCGGGAATTTTGAGAGGCCCTGAAGAAAATGCGCCCCTGTACCCCAAATTATAAGCAGTACTCAAAGATGTATTTGAGGAAATCATCTAACGTGATTGAAATCTACATATGTAGACTTTTCAGTCTGACTATGTTTCTAGGAAAAAAATACATAAGAGAAACACTCTAGACAAATTCAAGCAAATTGTTTGGAAATGAGACAAAGGGAAAAAATGGTAAATACTTTGGCAGAGAGAATAACATGTTTACTTTGAAAAGTGCCGTACACGTATTAGACTGACCTCAAACTTCTCCATGCAATGCAAGTATTTATAAATGTTTAATTAAAACACATTGTGATTTAGAGGCCAGGCGCGGCGGCTCACGCCTGTAATCCCAGCACTTTGGGAGGCCGAGGTGGAGACATCACTTGAGGTCAGGAGTTTGAGACCAGCCTGGCCAACATGGCAAAACCCCGTCTCTACAAAAAATACAAAAATTAGCTGGGCATGGTGGCGCACACCTGTAATCCCAGCTACTAGGGAGGCTGAGGCAGGAGAATTGCTTGAACCCAGGGGGCGGAGGTTGCAGTGAGCCAAGATTGCGCCACTGCACTCCAGCCTGTACGACAGAGTGAGACTCCGTCTCAAAAAAAAAGAATTGTGATTTAAAATTTTATGGTATTCATTCATTACATTCATTAACTTTTATGTGGGAGGAAACCTGAAATACATTTTCAAATATACTATTAGTGTATTTGAAGAATACCTAAAAAAAATGACATCAAAACATAGACATGCCATGGCTTGAAAGATTTTGAAGTGAGTATTGAAAACCATGAAGTCTAGACGATTATTGTATATTTCATTACAAAAGGATGTATCATACTATTCAAAAGTATACAAATATAAAGCATAAGTATATATCAAAACTATATATTGTAAGTATTCTTGAAAGATAAACTATTTTGTTAAGATAATTTAAAAAATAATCTGCTTTCAGTGCCTTCAAAATTGTTATGAATAGAATTTGTGAACAAGACAAATAAAATAAAACAGTCTTTGTTACAGAAGACACACACACAAAGGAAACAGCAGAAAAACATCAAAAATCAGAAAATGTTAAATCACATATTAATGTGTTCCTGATATATTAAGTGTAAACATCAGAGCACAAATCTATATACATGCTATGAACTTAATTTCATTTAAAAATCATATACATACATAGATACCTAAATATATACACAGATACTTAGATGATAAAATTACAGGTTGTTTTTAGTTTCATTGTATATTTTTATATATCTTTCAATAATTAACAGGTCTTATTTTCATATCCAGAAAATAGAAAAAAAACTTTTTTTTTTTTTTGGAGACAAGATCTCGCTCTGTCACCCAAGCTGGAGTGCTAGGCTCAGACAATCCTTCCAAGCCTTCCAAGGAGCTGGGACTACAGGCATGTACCACCACACTTAGTTCCTTTTTGCATTTTTTGCAATGACAAAGTTTTGCCATGTTGCCCAGGCTGGCCTTCAACTCCTGGGCTCAGGTGATCTGCTCGCCTCAGCCTCCCAAAGTGCTGGGATTACAGGCATGAGCCGCAACACCTGGCTGAAAAAAACCTTTTAAGAAAATTGATAAGAATATTAAGGAACTGGCTGAGGTAAAGAAACTTGATCTCCAGTCCAGTTTCAGCCCCTTTTCAGCCCTTGGATTCTAAAGATAAAGGCTATAAAAACTGTGTCTTATATTTGACATTTTGTCTTTTATTGCAGTTTGTATTGAGCACAGGGTGAGTACCTTAGCAGTTTGTTTCTTCTGAGTTCTTGGTAAAAAGTGGTTTTAAAATTCACTTTCAGGTTAGGTGCAGTGGCTCACGCCTATAATCCCAGCACTTTGGGAGGCTGAGGCAGGAGGACTGTTTCAGTCCGGGAGTTCAAGACCAAACTGGCCAACATAGGGAGACCCTGTCTCTTATTAAAAAGTAAAATACATGCTTCATGAACATCAGTGCGAAAATCCTCAAAAAAAACACTGGCAAACCAAATCCAGCAGCACATTAAAAAGCTGATTCACCTCGATAAAGTAGGCTTCGTTGATAAAGTAGGATGCACGCTTGGTTCAGCATACGCAAATCAATAAAAGTGACTCATCACATAAGCAGAACTAAAGACAAAAAACCACGATTATCTCAATAGATGCAGAAAAGGCCTTCGATAAAATTCAACATCCCTTTATATTAAAAACTTCCAGTAAATTAGATATTGAAGGAACATATCTCAAAATAATAAGAGCCAGATATGACAAACCCACAACCAGTATCATACTGAATGGGCAAAAGCTGGAAGCATTCCCCTTGAAAACCAGCACAAGACAAGGATGCCCTCTCTCACCACTCCTATTCAACATAGAAGTTCTGGCCAGGTTAATCAGGCAAGAGAAAGAAATAAAGGTATTCAGATAAGAAGAGAGGAAGTCAAACTACCTTTGTTTCAGATGACATGATCCAAAACCCCATCGTCTCAGCCCAAAACTTCTTAAGCTGATACACAACTTCAGCAAAGTATCAGGATACAAAATCAATGTGCAAAAATCACTAGCATTTCTCAACAACAGGCAAGCAGAGAGCCAAATAATGAATGTACTCCCATTCACAATTGCTGCAAAAGGAATAAGATACCTTGGAATACAGCTAACAAGGGAAGTGAAGGACCTCTTCAAGGAGAACTACAACCCACTGCTCAAATAAATCAGAGAGGACGCAAACAAATGAAAAAACATTCCATGCTCATGGATAGGAAGAATCAATATTGTGAAAATGGCGACACTGTCCAAAGCAATTTATAGATTCAATACTATTCCCATTAAACTACCATTGACATTCTTCACAGAATTAGAAAAACTACTCTAAAATTCATACGGAACCAAAAAACAGCCCGAATAGCCAAGACAATCCTCAGCAAAAAGAGCAAAGCTGGAGGCATCACACAACCCAACTTCGAACTATGCTACAAGGTTATGCTAACCAAAACAGCATGGTACTGGTAGAAGAACAGACAAATAGACCAATGGAACAGAATAGGGAACCCAGAAATAATACCAAACACCTACGACCATCTGATCTTCAACAAACCTGACAAAAATCAGCAATGGGGAAAGGATTCTCTGTTTAATAAATGCTGCTGGGAGAACTGGCTAGCCATATGCAGAAAATTGAATCTGGACCCTTTCTTTAAACCATATACAAAAATCAACTCAAGATGGATTAAACACTTAAATGTACAACCCAAAACTACAAAAACCCTAGAAGAAAACTTAGGACATAGGCATGGGAAAATATTTCATGAGGAAGATGCCAAAATCAACTGCAACAAAAGCAAAAATTGACAAATGGGATCTAATGAAACTAAAGAGCTTTTGCACAGCAAAAGAAACTATCATCAGAGTAAACAGACAACCTACAGAATGGGAGAAAATTTTTACAATTTACCCATTTGACAATGGTCTAATATCAAGCATCTACAAAGAACTTAAATTTACAAGAAAAAAACAACGCCATTAAAAAATTAGCAAAGGACATAAATGCACACATTTATTTATTTATTTATTTAGTTAGTTAGTTAGTTAGTTTATTTTTTTGTTTAGGCTGAGTCTCGCTCTGTCGCCCAGGCTGGAGTGCAGTGGTGTGATCTCGGCGCACTGCAAGCTCCGCCTCCTGGGTTCACGCCATTCACCTGCCTCAGCCTCCCGAGTAGCTGGGACTACAGGCGCCCGCCACCTCGCCCAGCTAATTTTTTGTATTTTTAGTAGAGACAGGGTTTCACCGTGTTAGCCAGGATGATCTTGATCTCCTGACCTCGTGATCTGGCCTCCTTGGCCTCCCAAAGTGCTGGGATTACAGGTGTGAGCCACAGTGCCTGGCATACACTTCTTCCTTTTTTTTTTTGAGACGGAGTCTCGCTCTGTCGCCCAGGCTGGAGTGCAGTGGTGCGATCTCGGCTCACTGCAAGCTCCACCTCCCGGGTTCACGCCATTCTCCTGCCTCACCCTCCTGAGTAGCTGCGACTACAGGTGCCCGCCACCATGCCTGGCTAATTTTTTTGTATTTTTTTGTAGAGATGGGGTTTCACCGTGTTAGCCAGGATGGTCTCGATCTCTTAACCTCGTGATCTGCCCGCCTCAGCCTCCCAAAGTGCTGGGATTACAGGTGTGAGTCACTGCGCCTGGCCTCGACATACACTTCTTAAAAGAAGGCATACAGGCAGCCAACAAACATTCGAAAAGAAGCTCAACATCATTGATCATTAGAGGAATGCAAATCAAAAGCACAATGAGATACCATCTCACACTAGTGAGAATGGCTATTGTTAAAAAGCAAAAAAACAATTGATGCTGGTGCGTTTGTGGAGAAAAAGGAAGGTTTTTACACTGTTGGTGGGAGTGTAAATTAGGTAAACCATTGTGGAAGACAGTGTGGTGATTCCTCAAAGACCTAGAACCAGAAATACCATTTGACCCAGCAATCCCATTACTGGGTACATACCCAAAGGAATATAAATCATTTTATTATAAAGATACATGCATGCGTGTGTTCACTGCAACACTATTCATGATAGCAAAGACATGGAATCTAAATACCTATCAATGATAGACTGGAAAAAGAAAATGTGGTACATATATACCATGGAATACTATACAGTCATAAAAAGGAATAAGATCATGTCCTATGCAGGGACAGGGATGAAACTGTAAGCCATTATTCTCAGCAAACTAAGGCAGGAACAGAAAATCAAATACCGCATGTTCTCACTTATAAGTGGGAGCAGAATGATAAGAACACATGGACACATGCAGGGGGGAACAACATACCCTGGGGCCTGTCGGGGTTGAGGGTGGGAGGAGAGAGAGCATGAGGAAGAATAACTAATGGATGCTGGGCTTAATACATAGGTAATGGGATGATCTGTGCAGCCAATCCCCATGACACACGTTTAACTATGTAACAAACCTGCACATCCTGCCCATGTAACCCTGAAAATAAAACAGGAGATAAAAGAAATAAAAGTAAACTTAAAAATTAAAACATCGACTTTCAAAATGCTCTTTATTATTTTATAACAAGAAATTTTTAAAACAAATTGACAATTTATTAAATGTGCTTTATTTGCCCCCCATCAAACAAACAACAAAAAACCAAACCTATGTAGGCTTGCGTTTTATTGTTTGAATTTTTTTTTTCATTAAGTCCAAACTCTTAGGATTCCTGTGGGCCTGTTTTGTATTTGAAATCTCGTGCTTTGGCAAAAGCACTAGATTCCTTTGAGGAATACTGGGGCCTATTGTGAGCAATAATCTTTGTCAGGGATTCTATGATTGGCACACTTTGTCTTCAAATAGGAGATTGTTAACGGTATTTGTGGTAACATTTAGTCTTTCCAATTCAAGAAACCTACTAAAGTCCAGCACTACTGTGACCTTTTTTTTACATATATATATATATATATCATGCCAATGGTGCCATGTGGTTTCGTTGGCTTGTAGGCAGTTTACTATTTGCACTTATGAGAAACAACTATGTTTCAAAAGTCAGGCTATTCTCAGACATGCTATACGCAAGAGAATGTGTCCAGATTTTTGATTTGCATTTTTCCACATCAGTGGGCTAAAATTGGACTTGTGTTAACATAGTTAATCTCTATACATGTGGAATAAGAATTTTCTTACTATGTTAGGACAATAACTCTTCTCTTTTCAAAGTTAGCGGTACTAAAGATTGCCTTGCTGTCTTTTTGTCCAACTCTTTTATTTTTCTAGTGTTATATAGAACGAATGAATCTTGAATATTGAGTCCAGCTTTCCCCCTTTAGTGAGAACAAATTGATTAAAATGTCCGTGTTAGTATTTGTGTCACTGGAATTTATGCTGCCAAAGAATAATGGTTTCCAGTATTGAGAGAGAGAGAGAGAGAAAGAGAGAGAGAGAGAGAGAGGAACGGAGTGTGGAGCTGTCAAACGTGCACGTACCCTTGACCTCACTGTCCCCATTTTCTTTCTTTCTTTCTTTTTTTGAGGTGGAGTCTTGCTCTGTCGCCAGAGCTGAAGTGCAGTGGCACAATCTCAGCTCACTGCAACCTCCGCCTCCCGGGTTCAAGCGATTCTCCTGCCTCAGCTTCCCGAGTGGCTGGGATTACAGGCACCCGCCACCACGCCCAGCTAATTTTTTGTATTTTTAGTAGAGACGGGGTTTCATTATGTTGGCCAGGCTGGTCTCAAACTCCTGACCTCGTGATGTGCCCACCTTGACCTCCCAAAGTTCTGGGATTACGGGCGTGAGCCATTACACCCAGCCAACTGTCCCCATTTTCTAAGGTATGTTCACGGAAAGCTGATTATGCTGTAGGTGGGAGGGAGGGCAGTTATAAACTTTTAAAACAGAAGTCCTGTGTATCCGTTAGTATTTTCTTCTTATTGAAATAATGGTACATAACACACACCCCCAAAATCAGTATCTTAAAGCCACGGTAATTTATTTCTCCAGGACATGCTGGTTGGCTATGGTGACTCCGCTGTGTGTGGCTGAGCTCATTCATGAGTTTGTGGGAAGGCTTGAGTTTCTCGATTTAGCCGGGGGCACAGCCGGGCAGTTCTGCTTTAAGCTGTAGGTTTGTGGATTGGTCAGGAAGCTGCTCCACATGTTTCTCATCCTTCTTGGAGCAGCAGGCCAACTAGGCGAGCTCTTCCAATGGCATAGCAAGAGACTGAGAAGGCATGCGGAGCCAAGCAAATGCGTCGAAAGTCCCTGCTTGCATCATGTCTGCTAATATCCCCAAAGCCAAAGAAAGCCACAAGGCCAAACTCAAGGCCAAGAAGGAAGGGAAGCAGCTTTCTCCCATAGCAGTTAGGAGGTTAAAAGGAGGAGAACTTTTTGAACAAGAATTGAATCTGTGAAACTTCAGTAGGTTTAAATGCTGGTTGAAGAAACTACTTCTGCCGGGCGTGGTGGCTCACGTCTGTAATCCCAGCACCTTGGGAGGCCAAGGTGGGTGGATCATCTGAGGTCAGATGTTCAAGACCAGACTGGTCAATGTGGTGAAACTCCTTCTCTACTAAAAATACAAAAAATAGCCGGGCATAGTGGCCCATACCTGTAAATCCCAGCTACTCAGGAGGCTGAGGCAGGAGAACTGCTTGAACCCGGGAGGCGGAGATTGCAGTGAGCCAAGATTGTGCCACTGCACTCCAGCCTGGGCAACAGAGTGAGACTCCATCTCGAAAAACAAACAAACAAACCAAAACAACAACAACAACAAAGAACAAACAAACAAAAAAACAAGAAGAAGAAGAAGAAACTACTTCTAGCCATGAGGACATGGCTTCAATCAAACTAATTCCCATATTGGGAACTGCTATGAAAGCTGGATAAAATTGAAAAGAAAACAACTGGCCAGGCGTGGTGCCTCACGCCCGTAATCCCAGCACTTTTGGGAGGCCGAGGTGGGCGGATCACTTGAAGTCAGGAGTTCGAGACCAGCCTGGCCAACATGGCGAAACCCCATTTCTACTAACAATACAAAAATTAGCTGGGCATGGTGGTGCATGCCTGTAATCCCAGCTACTCAGGAGGCTGAGACAGGAGAATCACTTGAACCCGGGTGGTGGAGGTTGAGGTGAGCTGAGATCGTGCAACTGCACTCCAGCCTGGGGGACAGAGTGAAACCCTGTCTCAAAAAAAAAAAAAAAAAAAAAAAAAAAAAAAGAATATCAGTAAATAAGAAAATATTTTGAAATGAATGATAACGAGAAATGGTACTTAATGTAAGGGATGCATCTGAAGGCCTAGAGTGAAATATATATGCACATATTAGAAAAGAAAAAAGATCTACAAAATGTCTAATATTCAGCCAGGTGCCATGGCTCACACCTGTAATCCCAGCACTTTGGGAGGCCGTGATGGGTGGATCACAAGGTCAGGAGTTCGAGACCAGCTGGGCCAATATGGTGAAACCTGGTCTCTACTAAAAATACAAAAATTAGCCAGGTGTGGTGGTGGGTGCCTGTATTCCCAGCTACTTGGGAGGCTGAGGCAGAAGAATTGATTGACCCTAGGAGGTGGAGGTTGCAGTGAGCCGAGATCACGCCATTGCATTCCAGCATGGACAACAGAGCAAGACTGTCTCAAAAAAAAAAAAAAAAGTCTAATATTCATCAAATAAGCTAGAAAAAGGATAGCAAATTAAACCCAAAGAAAAATAAGAAATGAAATAATGCTAACAGCAGATATCAAACAGCAAACATAATAAAAAGAAAATCAATAAAGCCAAAGTTGACTTTGAAAATTCTAATAAGATATAAATTACTAGAAAAACTGATATCATAAAAATAGAAAAACACAAATTGACAGATTTACCACAAAACCTACAGATATTAAAGCAGTTAATAAAAGAATCTAATGAGCAGCTTACACCAAAATTTAAAGAGTTATTGTCAAATGGACACACTTCTTCAAATAAAAAGGATTATTTAATAAAATCAAAATAAGAAGAAAAATAAAATCTGACAAACCTTTCCACAAACTACTCCCATCCCTCCCCCGACAAAATTCTAGGCCCAGATTTTTTTACTCACCAATTCTTCTAACATTTAAGGAAGAATCTTCTCCAGGTAATAGAAAATGTGGGAACACTTGTCTTTTTCTATAGGGTAGTAAAGGTGAATAGACATGAGAAAGGTTTTGAAGGTGTTATTAATATTCTATGTCTTGATCTGGGGGGTGGTTTCACAGAGGCATTCACTTTGTAAAATTCACTGAACTCTGTATTGCACTTAGCATTTATGCACTTTGTGTGAGTTATATTTCAATAAAATTTTGCCAAGATATAAGTAATGCAGTGATAAAATTATATATAATATAATTTCATGTATATATACAGATAACATGATTATATATTATGTATACATATATACATGTAATATAATCTGTATATATGTGTGCATATATATAACATATAGCAACATATACTGTACTTACAGACGTAAAACATTATTTTAATATGTTTTTTAAATATTATATATACACTCATATATAATGTTCCTATAAACAGTAGCAGAGCCATTTTTTTTCTTATGCTACTTCAAATGATGTGATTTTTGTTCCCTTATATGACATCACTGCTAAATTAAGGGCCAGTCCCTAAATTTAAAAATATATATATTATAAAAATATATATAATATATATAAAATATGTATATAAAAATTATTTTTTTAGAAATAGAGACGAGGTCCTGCTATGTTGCCAAGGCTGGCCTCAAACTCCTGGTCTCAAGCGATCTTCCTACTCTGGCCTCCCAAAGGGCTGGGATTACAGGCGTGGGCCATGACACCCAGGCCAGTTCCTTAATTTGAAAGCACAATTCTTCCTATAGTCATTAGATAATCTGATTACTATCACACCTGTATAGTAACAAAGTATCCTCTAGAAATATTTTTTGATTATAGTCTGAACATAAAAATTTGATCCTATATTCTTAGACATAACTGAAATCGGTGATGAATGTGGATGCTATTTCACTTACCCGTGTAATCCGTGCCCTTGTGCAGATCAACTCAGGTGTTAGTAATGACTATTGTGTGGACAGGAGCTCCGAGATACGTGCTGGTAACAATTAATGTACAGGATTGTACCAAAAAAACAAGTCGTTCATGCTATAAACTTCACTGGAATACAAAAGAATTATAGGAATTGTCTCTTATCGTCAAACACATCACTGTCCTTTGAAATCAAGGGGTTCATTGTTTGATACCTGAATTGTTTATTCACCTGTATAAAAAGCAGGTCACAATTTTTTTTTGTAGTTTTGCCAAGCAACTGAGGGTCACTAAATTTCATAAGTACAGATCACCGCTGTGCTCTCTAAACAGCCTTTGTCCTTAGTTTTAACTCCACAAAATGTCAAGATAACAGACACTAGTCTTTTGGTCTCAGTTTTAATGTGAAATCTATGCCCACAAAATGCCACTCTCAAATTTGTGTTATTAGCTTTTCTGAATCTATTCACCAATCTACAAACGATAAACACTCAGACCTAGTTTCCTTTCTTGGGTCAAAAAGCATTCCCCAAGTACCATTTACATTGAAATCTGGAAATGTGGCTAAAAGTCTTTGTGTGTGTGTGTGTGTGTGTGTGTGTGTGTGACAGGTCTCGCTCTGTCACCCAGGCTGCAGTGCAGAGACCCTTTGAGGCTCACTATAGCCTCAAACTCCTGGGCTCAAGTGATCCTCAGCCTCCCAGTGGTCTTTGTAGACAGCCTGATGGAGTCTCATGGCACAGAAGATTAATTAAACGATGTCTTTTAATTTTAATCAATTTTTGCAATCCAAAAAAAGCCTCATTCGGCCAGGGTGAGGAAAGGATGACAGGATTGTTCAGCGGCGTTTCTACTTGACTTTGTTGTAAAGTCATTTAGGGTAAGGAAACTTGGAGAATCAAACAGCTGGTGTTAAATTGGCTAAGCATATCATTTTCCGAAACTCCTTTCTGATCTTCATTAAGGAAACCAATATATGATGGGGAACTCATTCATAAGAGAGACGAGTGTTCAAGTATTTTATATTTTCAAGGATTTGGAGGCTGATGCCAACACTAGTGCATTAATTGCCTGACATTCTGAGCTCAGGCCCACTACCTTTTTGTTCTGAGGTTTTGACTGATCTATATATTCTGGCTTTCAATAAAGGCCTGTCACAGCAGAAAAACAGAAAAGGGATGCTGAGTACGAAGTCAGTTATTAGCTAAGTGGTTCTTCAGGCTTTTGTTGTTTGCCATGAAATTTGCATCTTGCAAAAACTGGATCTGTGCTCTTGGCACAACGGATGTTTCATATTTGCCAAATAAAGTTTCAGTACCTTTGCCTCTGGTTCACTGACTTCCCGTCTGTGACGTGCACCTCTTCCTTTTTCTCTGAAGGACAGTAGTAAGTCACAGTGCTCTTCCTGTTCAGATTACCATCTTCAAGTGACTGGCACTCATTGGCTTCAGAAATGCTATTTTTTTTTCCTCCTGCTTCTGGAATGTGACCAGACAAGATCATTCCTATGGCAAAATATGATTGAGAAATAATATTTTAGAGGCTGGGAGATATTGTGTCATGCCACACCAGGTAACTGTCTTAAGTAAAAGACATAAGAAAGACACAATGAATGATATGATGCTTTTCAAGGATCTTTTTTTTTTTTTTTTTTTTTTGAGATGGAGTTTCACTCTTGTTGCCCAGGCTGGAGTGCAATGGCACAATCTCGGCTCACTACAACCTCCACCTCCCAGGTTCAAGCAATTCTCCTGCCTCAGCCTCCTTAGTAGCTGGGATTACAGTCATGCGCCACCACGCCCGGCTAGTCTGTATTTTTAGTAGAGACAGGGTTTCTCCATGTTGGTTAGGCTGGTCTTGAACTCCCTACCTCAGGTGATCCGCCCGCCTCAGCCTCCCAAAGTGCTGGGATTACAGGCATGAGCCATCGCGCCCAGTCTCAAAGATCTTAATGATTGAAACAAATATAACCAATAAGTAGAGATGCAAGAAAAATGTCCATGTGTTTACATGCCAGTTTACATTGAGGAGCATTAAGAATTCACCATTCTTGGTATGTCATTGTAATTTCGTACATATTTTATTTATCCAAATTTTTTCTTTGAGGTAGGATGGGAGGGAAATGATTCACCATAACTACTATTTATTTAGAACACAGTTAATCACCTTCCCTCACCAATAACCTTGCCTCACACTACCTTCCCAAGGTTTGCAAAACTCATTACCAAACAAACCAAACAAAAAGATGAAAAACAAAACAAAACAAAGCCAGAAACTCTATTCTGTGTAAGAGTTATTAACCTGTCATACGTGCAAAATAATTATGAGTGAAATTTCATGAATGGAATGGAAAATCATGCATTTGTATTCGGGGGAAGAGGATGCATAGCATTTTCCAGATTCTCAAGGCAATTCAATGCTCCCAAAAGGTTAAAAGCCACTGCAATTGAAATTGCTTTTTCTTCAAACACCTCCAGTCTCCTTTTCCATGTAAAGTATTGAAGTTTTAGGCCTCTGCTGCTTGCCTACACTGCAATCATTTCTTTTTATTTTCTAAATTATCAAAATAAAGGGATCATGTTGTTCTACATTTCTCGTTTTTACTTTATCCTTGTCTATGTCTGGGTGACTTTCGGAAAAGCAGAAATCCGTGTCTGGCCTCTCATCTGACTCTTTTAAGGCTGGCAGAGCGGTGTCTGCCCATTCCAGTTGTTAACAGGATTTTTCTTTTTCTTAACTCTTAATCTGTTTCTGGGAAGCTTTTAAAATACATTTTCCCCCTTCTCTTTCAGATATCCTCAGCTTCCCTAGCTCAGGGGGATTCATGCAAATTGTGTATTCTCTGGGGGATGCATTGCTGGTAGATTCTGAAAACGTCTCAGCTTTTTTCCTCCCATTGTCAAATACAATGATAATTTCAGGCTTATCTTAAAGGAGGTTTTGTTTCCATAATTCACTTCAGTTGTGGAAGCAAAATATCCTTTAATGTAGAAAACATTAAATGTATAGAGAATTTGCTCTGCATCTCCAGAGAAGCTTTTAGGATGTCAGTAATTGGAATTGCTATATTCCATCTACTAAAGAAAGATCTAGTCTCCTTAATCTATCCCCGACTTTGATCACATGAGACCACAAAGCCACCTAGGTAGCCTACAGTCTGGCCATATTCGCCAAATGTATACTTGATTTGGCCAGATACCAGCCTAGGGCCACCCATGTTTTTCTCACCAGATCCCCTGTGGTGATGATTTGTCAACAGTCGGGCAGGAGGACAATGGACTGGGATAAAATTCAAACTTTGAAAGTAAGATTTTTCAAACTGTTTTAAAAACATTTTGAAAGACTACAGTGGAACATCTCTCGGTGACTGGAAATTTTTCTTTTCCTTTTTTTTTTTTTTTTTTGCCAATGGGTTCACATTTTGAATTGGCAAAAATTGGTATGATGAGTATGATTTCATAATTTATGTATTAGAGCAGATGGAGATTAATCATTTAGCTAATCCTGTTCATCTTCCCAATCAGTTACTGTTTGCTAGTGGGAAACCAGAGGCAGCCAAATGGCTCATCCCACCAATGAGGCAGAACAGTTGCTTAAGAGAACATTCTCGCTTACTCCCAAGTTTTGCTAAAACTTCAAGTGACTGTGAGCCCCTTAACTTTGCTCCACTTGAAAATACATTTGAGGCAGGGCACGGCGGCTCATGCCTGTAAACCCAGTGTTTTGGGTTGCTGAGGTAGGCAGATCCCTTGAGCCCAGGAATTTGAGACCAGCCTGAGACACATGGCGAAACCCTGCCTCTACTAAAAATACAAAAATTAGTTGGGTGTGGTGGCATGTGCCTGTGGTTCCAGCTACTTGGGAGGCTGAGATGGGAGGACTGCTTGAGCTCTTGAGCCCAAGAGGTCAAGGCTGCAGTGAGCCGTGAGCATGCCGCTGAACTCCAGCCTATGCAACACTGCGAGACCCTGTCTGAAAAAAAAAAAAAGAGAGAGAAGGGAAAAGAAAATACATGTGAAAGTTTTTCTCAAAACCAGTGTTCTTTCTATGAACGCAACATTTGGAAATCTATTGGCCAGGTTTTTGTTAAGATGATTGCCCTGTTTCTGAGAAAGGACAGCCAAAGATAGTCAAGGGTGATTGCATGCAAGTCTGAACTCCATGTCAACGAACCAGCTGGGAGCACGTAAAGCTTACAAATGCCGTCCAGTATTGAAGTTACTTTAATAATCTTGAACTCTGGAAGTTAAAGTGTTAGGACCTGTAGGCTGGGCACGGAGGCTCACACCTGTAATCCCAGCACTTTGGGAGGCTGAGGCGGGCGGATCACGAGGTCAGGAGATCGAGACCATCCTGGCTAACACAGTGAAACTCTACTAAAAATATAAAACTTTAGCCGGGCGTGGTGGCGGGCACCTGTAGTCCCAGCTACTTGGGAGGCTGAGGCAGGAGAATGGTGTGAACCCAGGAGGCGGAGCTTGCAGTGAGCTGAGATCCCACCACCGCACTCCAGCCTGGGCGACAAAGCGAGACTCCGTTTCAAAAAGAAAAAAGTGTTAGGACCTGTAATCCTAATTTCTTATAGGGCTGATTTCATGAAAAATATAAGCTTACATAACCCAGCTTTGTAATATTTGACCACAAAACTGAATGATCAGCATAGGTACAATTTGCTGGTTATGAAAAATAAACCAGGTTAACAATCTGTTGAATTATGGAAAACACAAAAGAACAAATTTACCTTTTAGGTTTTAGCACAAAGGAGAAAGAACACAAGTTATCTAATAACTCAAGAAGATAAGACCAGCTACCTCACCTCGCACCCTCTGTTCCTGTTAAGCCACTGGAAACCCAAAACTAATCAAATCCCCAAATCCCCACATCACTGACAGTGCTTATGGCTTACTGACTTCAACATAGATAAATGGCCCCATTAATGTCAGGGCGGTTACGTTTGTCTGAAGAATATACGTCTGTATTTTAAATTGCATTATCCAGTTTATCCATGGGATAAGAATTGTTTACCTTCACAAATTCCAGGCTTCTGAGCTGAACTAAACAGGGCAAGTTTAAAGGCAGGAGCTCAGAGCAGTTCATAGCCTTTTGACAGCTCTGATGTGGTCTGCCAAGCCTGAATTGGTAAAATCCAGGCTTATCTCTCAGCACAACGCAGTTCACCCTCAGGTCTTTCCTGCTACCTGCAGCCCCCGTGAAGCCCCTACAAAGCTGGAAGTTGCAAAGTGGATGGAATAATTCTGCAAAATATTGTTTGGTGTTGGATTAGCATTCACAGATGTGGGTCCAAGAAATTGCTCAACAGCCCACGGAGGCCAAGGAAGATCTGCCACGACATCGATACCACGCCTGACTAGGTCACTTCAGGCTTGAGTCCAGTTCAGTGTGTCCCGCCAAGCCCCAGCTTTTGTCTCCTCCTCTTGTTTCCAGTTTGCTCTGCTTCTGTGAAATGAGGTGTTTGCTCATCACTGGGCAGGGCAGAAAGGTAGAGACAGAACAAGAGATGGAGGACGGGGGACTCTTAACAAATCCACATCCATCTTTGCCTCCATTCAACCTGCCTTGTGCTGGCTTGAAAACAGTTGCTGACCAAGGTTTGGAAAATGCAGCAGCTGCTTGCTGCCATCTGCTGTACTTTCTGTTGCTAGCAAGCATGGGACCATGGCTGGCTGCAAAAGAGGAAAAAATGGAAAAGTGGGGGAAGCAAGAGACCGGCAGCCTCCTCTTTACCCAGGAAACCCCCATGATAATGCAGCTACGGATTCATGTCAGAAAAGCGGCCACCTTTCCCAGCGTGAATGAACCACAGTGATTTTTCAGGACGTAGAATATACTTTCCTTTACACTTACGTGATTATGTTTTCCATATTGTAACTATGGAGGGAAAATAAATATAGATTAGGCTCAATGGAATTCAAGTTGTCTGCTCACTTGAACTACTTCTTAATCTTGAACTACTTCTGGATAAACATTGGATCAAAATAGAGGGTAAAGAAATACTGGTGTGGCTGGGCATGGTGGCTCACACCTGTAATCCTAGCACTTTGGGAAGCTGAGGTGGGTGGATGACTTGAGGTCAGGAGTTCAAGACCAACCTTGCCAACATGGTGAAACCCCATCTCTACTAAAAATACAGAAAAATTAGCTGGGCGTGGCGGCGCACGCCTGTAATCCCAGCTACTCGGGAGGCTGAGGCACAGAAACCGCTTCAACCCGGGAGGCAGAGGTTGCAGATCACGCCACCGCACTTCAGCCTGGGTGACAGAGTGAGAATCTATCTCAAAAAAAAAAAAAAAAAATTACTGGTGTGTAAGATTCTAGGAGTGAGTCTCTAAGATATACATCTAAAGATGATCAAGACTTTCTAAAGAAACCATCACATGATTCTGCCTTCCTTCCAATAGCTCAATCTCTTTATTTTTGCTCATTATTAGACTCCTTAAGTGATCCTATTTCCTTTTGGTAAGCTAACTTCCAGATGCCCTCTCTAATGTGTCTTCCAGTATCAATGCTCAGATGAAATGCATCAGATGAAATTCACCCATGGTCTACTTAGCTCTTGTCTTAGAAATAGTCCTTTTGGACTCATTCCAAATCCAATTTCTGAAACAACATCTGTTGATGGTCTCTTCAAAACTCTGATCTCTTCCTTTTTTCCTTTAATGGCCTTTTCACTTCCCCCTTCCTACTAATTTTGGAAATTCAAAGGGAAGGCTCAATTTTTAAAAATTCTAATTGTAGGTAATAGGAATGAATCTGAGCTTGGCCATGTGTAATTTATTTTTCTAACTCAGAGCTTGTTTTGCTTTTTCCATTCATTTATTCAATTTCAATAATAATGACTTTGCTGGTGACATCCGTAGGAAATCTTAATTTTGCCCTTCTCGTTGGGTTTCTCACTGCCTAGCCCTGTTTCATGAGATAAAGACCTTTTGTCCCATAATGTGTACAGCATAAACCTTACAAATTCTATAAGAGAGACTACAGAGTAAGTTGAAGAAAATAACCATGCAGTGGTAGCATCTGACCTTTGGGGAATCATGATTTATATGACTGTTAGTGTTGGGTTAACATCTTCTGGCCACATACCCAGTATCTAGCAGCATCTGGCAGCACACTCTGAAAAGAATCATACCATTTTTAGATGTTTAACTTACAGCAAGGATATGTTCTTTTTATTCTCAGTCTTCCATAGGATGGTATAAAATATTTCTCTCACTGCATGTGGGACAAACTGAGGACAAGATACCAGTAACGTAATGAGCAATTGATCTCTTTGTAAAATCTTGTAGACAGTGTTATGAAGTGGAAATGAGAAACTATGCTGGGACTGGCAGGCTCCTGCAATGTGCGTACTTAGTGACAAGAAGGTGTAGCATGTGCCCTAGGCTATATATCCACATGTATTCAATAAGGTACATCTTTAAAGACAATCTTTGGAAATTGCATATTAGGTTTCTGCTTATTTCAAAAAGTGCCAGCAGTATAATAGGGACTGATGGGAAGAGAATGATAAAAATCTAAACAGCTTTTACTTCCTTTGTGAAACTTTTACTTACTACGGCCATTTCACAGTGCAAACACGTTCTCATTCTTCTGTGCTCCCATTGTGCTCTGTATAGACTTCCACTGTGGATATGTAATGATTATTGAACTCTTTGTTTTCACGCTTCTCTCACAATTAGACTGTAAACTCACGGAGGCGAGAGACTGCTTTTGTCACTATGTATTTCCAGATCCTATTAACTTGGATATAGCAGATGCTTAATACATGTCCATTGAATTAATAAGTTAAATTAATGGTTTCCAGTCTTAAACTAGATAGTCAGAAAAGATTCAAACACATATATTATAATAGAGGACAGCAACAAAGTGTGCCAAATTCTGTAGACAGTATGTGTCAAGATTGGAGACCCAAGGCAATTGTTATTATATTTTCATCTCCTGTCTGAGAGTCATTGAATCTTTTAGCAAGAAGTAATAATCTGGTCTAATATCTTTATTTCACAGGAAGAGAGAGAAAGTCATGTAAATTTATTATTTCTTAAGTACTAAATGTTATCTCTGCATAGTTATTCTTTATAAAGTTTAAAAGACTTATCCAAGATAAACAGATGCTTTATCTGTTTAGAGTTAGCACTCAAGTTTCTTCATGCTTCAAAAATTCCATGTACTTTTCATGTTGCTAATTGTGTATTTGCAATGTGATATTTATTATAGCTTTACCTCTATGATTTATTCTTTATGAATTTGTGTGAAGTGTGAATACATGTCATCATTAATTAAAATAATTACTAATCACTAATTAAAAATTGTGGGTTTTATTAAATTAAATTAAAATAATAAAATTACTGCTATGACATTCATTGACACAAAATAATAATAATAATAATTTACCTTATGGAGGACTTACCTCTCACCATGTGCCAGGCACTCTTCTAAATGTTATATACATATATATATATAAATGTATTTAATATATATATAAATTTATTTAATCCTCCTAGCAACTACTCAAATATATAAAGATGAGGAAACTGAGGCACAGAGCAGTTGTGTGAATTGGCCGATATCACATTCTCATCAATGTCAGAGGAGGATTTGAATCAAAATTATCTAGCTCTAGAACCAAAAGAATTGACTCCTAGGATGTACCCTCCCTCAAATCAGACCTAGTTTTCACCATCAAAATGAAGAAGGTGGCACATAAATGAACGCAGTACAAGGTAACAAGTCCCAAAGTTTAGATATGTGGGAAGCCCAAGGAAGGAATAAATAGGTAATATTCATGAGGCCTCTAAAGGTGGCCATAAATCAGCGTGGAGTTATATATGCACTGCCATTCATGAAACTCTTAGGGTGATGACACCCCTCACTTGGCCACTGCCATTGGAGCGCACTCCTTGACCTCCTCTTCCACTTCACCAGGGTTGGTGTTGAAAATGTCACTAGATCCTGAAAGAAATGCCACCTGTTGAGTGTGCCCTTTACTCTCTGCCATACAGATTAACGTTCACTAGTAAAGAGCTCTAGCACTTGGAAACAAGGGGAAATTTGACTCTTTCCATTCTTTTCTGGATGTCTCTATTTGAGTTTCTCTACCCATCATTATGCCATTGTCTTTTTTTTTTTTTTTTTTTTTTTTGAGACGGAGTCTCCCTCTGTCGCCCAGGCTGCAGTGCAGTGGCACGATCTTGGCTCACTGCAAGCTCCGCCTCCCAAGTTCACGCCATTCTCCTGCCTCAGCCTCCCCAGTAGCTGGGACTACAGGTGCCCACCACCATGCCCGGCTAATTTTTTTGTATTTTTAGTGGAGACGGAGTTTCACCATATTAGCCAGGATGGTCTCGATCTCCTGACCTTGTGATCCGCCCATCCTCGGCCTCCCAAAGTGGGGGGATTACAGGCATGAGCCACCACGCCCAGCCTATTATGCCATTTTCAAAACTGCCAACGTATCACAGTGATTAAGAGGTCTTCTTGGCAGGAGATCAATCAATATTTATAGGATTTGATTTAGTGTACATTGGATTTAGCATCAATACTGATGTATTCTAACACATCTCAGAATTACTCTGTTATGTAGTTGAGGTCCTGGTAACCTATTTACCATGAGGCTGCTTTGAAATGTGTCCCTGAATTCTCCCACCAGGTGATGTCATTGTCAATTTCCCCTTCATTTAAATTTACCCAATAGAAATTTTAATTCCCTATCAGTGCAGTCAGCGGGGACATTTTTAAAAAAGAGAAATTGTAATTCCCATGAAAACTTGAAATATATCAGTGAAATGACTTTATGTAACATAACTTCGCCTGTGTTGAAAGAACAAAGACATGTTATTGAAAAAAGCATTATTTGCTTGCTTGTTCTCTATCCATCCCTGAGTGGAACAGTGCCAGCAACAAGGTTGGGGTAAAGAGATTGGCCTTGTAGAAGCTGGGCTAAATGTACTCTAGATTAATGAGCTAAACTAAGAGTTGATATTGATATAAGGAATCAAGGCATGCCATAGCAGACGCAATGTGTGGATGCTAAACTCAATGTAGTACTTAACCAATCAGATTAAATTAATTTACACCTCTAATTTTGCATTTTACAATAAAATAGCATCATGATACAATGGAAGAGCCATATAAATCTTTCTTAGCAATGCTACTCAGAGGCCATATGGCTTTGAATACATTATTTAACCTGGTTGTACATTATTTCCCTTTCCATCAGCTAAAGGTGTTGGTAAGGGATGATTTCTTTTTTTTTTTTTTTTTTTTTTTTTTTGAGACAGAGTCTCGCTCTGTGGCCCAGGCTGGCGCGATCTCGGCTCACTGCAAGCTCCGCCTCCCAGCTTCACGCCATTCTCCTGCCTCAGCCTCCTGAGTAGCTGGGACTGCAGGCGCCCGCCACCATGCCCGGCTAATTTTTTGTATTTTTAGTAGAGATGGGGTTTCACTCTGTTAGCGAGGATGGTCTCGATCTCCCGACCTTGTGATCCGCCCGCCTCGGCCTCCCAAAGTGCTAGGATTACAGGCGTGAGCCACCGCGCCCGGCCTGGTAAGGGATGATTTCTGAGGATTCTACTAGCTCTCAGATTCTGTATCAAAGGACATGGGGTGTTTAATAAAGCTTTCAGAGTAAAATATTAGGGAAATTATTACTGTTCTGTTAAAGACCCATAAATCGGCCGGGCCCGGTCGTTCACACCTGTAGTCCCAGCACTTTGGGAGGCCGATCACGAGGTCAGGAGTTCAAGACCAACCTGGCCAACATTATGAAACCTCGTCTCTACTAAATATACAAAAATTAGCTAGGCATGGTTGTGTGTGCCTGTAATCCCAGCTACTCAGGAGGCTGAGGCAGGAGAATTGCTTGAGCCAGGGAGGCGGAGGTTGCAGTGAGCCGAGATCGTGCCACTGCACTCCAGCTGGGGCGACAGAGCAAGACTCTGTCTCAGAAAAAAAAAAAAGAAAGAAAGAAAAGACCAATAAATCAAATAATAGAGATATTGTGACTGATTTTCAGTAATCCAACAAGTAATCGAGGTGACAGAGTGACAGTAGTACAACTTTGATTCAAACAAACCTGCATTTAAGCCCCATTCTGCCACTTCCTAAGTGTATGAACTTAGATGAAGAACTTCGAATTCCTGAGCCACAGATTCCTCTATAAAATAGAGTGAGTCCCTTATGCAACTCTATCGCCATGTATATTAAAGAAAGAATGCATGCATAGCCATTAACACATATGGATCCGACATATAATGAATTCCAAATAAACGATTGTTTCTCAGAGGCCCGGAGAGGGGTCTCTGTTGAGAAACAGCCCACTACGTCTGAGAACAGCCTTTACTCACAATCCCTGCCTACTGCCTGCTAACTGTACAGGTAGTAACTCATTCTACTTTTGGCATGAGCATGACATTCATCCAGATCAATATCCAAAAGATATAAAAGGGCAGACAGTGAAGTCTCTCTCCCACCTCTGAGTGCTGGCTGGCTAATGTTCCTCCCTGGAAGCAACCAATGGACCCAGCCTCTTATGTTTGTTTTCAGAAATGCTGTGTGTACATGCAAGTGAATTTGCATGTATATATAAATACACGGAAGGGGGCACACGTGATACACACCTTCCTGGGTTTTGTCTCATAGAAAAAAATTGCTAGGGGCCAGTGTGAAGTTTGTGAGTTATCTCAATTGACTATTCACAGTCAGTTACAGACTGAACTTGTTCTGTTCTTTACCCCCTTTTCACTACTGCACTTGACTAGTCTTTTAAAAAGAAAAAAAGTTGCTAAAAAAATTTTTTTTCTTTTTTCTCATAAGCCCTTGAGCAAATTATTCTTCTTACAAATCTAGCCAATTATAGAGTCATCAATTAAGAGTCCATATCATTAGGTTTTATTTCTAATGACTGGAAAATATATTCTCTCAAGATTTAGGTATTCGTATCTTTTGGTTATACAATTAATCCCATGACATCTGAACCAAGCAAGGTATAATGAACACAAAACTGAAAACTGTTACATAAAGAATATCATATGGATTAGTCTTATTCGAATTTGTTTTAAAATATTATATTATGAAAAAATTAAAGAAATAGAAATATTCAAATATTACAGCTAACACTTAGACATCCCCCACCCATGTTCTACACTGACATTTTAGGATATTTTAATATATTTGCTTCTTCACATTTCTACACATTTCTATCTATCCATTTCTCTCTTCATTCAACTGATGGGATTTACTGCTAAATTAAAGTAAGTTTACTTTCATCAAAATCCTAAGAACAAAAATAATAATAACTAGTAGGTTGGTGCAAATGTAATTGTGATTTTTGCCATTGAAAGTAATAACAAAAACAATTATTTTTGTACCAACCTAATAGAAATATGCTTCTCCCAAGAACCAGACAAAAGAGATGGCAAGTTTTCAAAACTCTTTGAAAATAATAATGAGGTGATCAATGTTTCATAAAATTTGTAAAACAAATTTTTTTAACCTCTTTGATAACTACAATATATAGTAGGAGGATAGTGAGAATTGCAGAATTGAATGATACTGTAAAACTAGTGGGTTTAGCAGTCACAGCATAGCACACATGTGTGTCTTATTTTTCTAACTTGGGAATCAAGCTAATTAATTACATATTTTCTATTTTGTAAAAATTATCTCTAAAAACTATTCTTGTATGAATTGAAAGTATCATCTTCCAAATGACATATTTTGACACTTATCTATTACAAATATTGGGTGAAATGATCTTCTGGGAAAGACTTTCTCTGCCAAGTTCAGGTCCAAAGGGATCTTTCTGTTCAATTATCCTATTATAACCCTTTGAAATGAGTGCAGCTAATGAAAATTCCAGTGGCCACTCTGTTAAGACATATAGTTGACCATGGAACTCTCCACATTTCAGCTGGTTTTATTGAAAAACCCAGCTTTTCAGCCTCCCTGGCACTCTCTTGAGTCAAATATCCAAGGGCATTTTTTATTTTAGTTAAAATTGTCTTTGTGCACACATTGTTTCTATACAATACTTCTTTTCTCTTCTTTTCTTTTTTTGAGACGGAGTGCTGCTCTGTCACCCAGGCTGGAGGGCAGTGGTGCGATCCCGGCTCATTGCAACCTCCACCTCCCAGGTTCAAGCAATTCTTGTGCCTCAGCCTCCCAAGTAGCTGGGGCTACAGGTGGATGCCACCATGCCTGGCAAATTTTTATATTGTTAGTACAGATGGAGTTTCACCATGTTGGCCAGGTTTGTCTCGAACTCCTGACCTCAGGTGATCTGCCGGTTAATTTTTTGTATTTTTAGTAGAGATGGGGTTTCACCATCTTGGCCAGGCTGATCTTGATCTCCTGACCTCGTGATCCACCCACCTTGACCTTCCAAAGTGCTGGGATTACAGGTGTGAGCCACGGTGCCCTGCCCTATAGATATTTCTATGTGAGCTCTGCCCATCTACAAGTAAAATCTTTTGGGATCTGAGCCTTTCTCCAGCTAGCTAGTCTTAATTTCATGGGACGCACTCTTCTGTTTCTCATCACAGTGCCACTGCAACCATTCCTTCCTTCATTGCTCTCTTAGAAGTCTCTGCCATAGAAAGTGTGGCCTCTGTTTCTCCAGAAAGTGCTCATCCAGAATTGTTTTCCTTTGATTGTTTTCATCGTTTGCCTTCAGTGGGAAGATAATCTGCTGCAGTAGAAATAATAACACAGGCTTTTAGAGTCAATTACTCAAAAACGTCCACTGTGTTCTTGCAGAGTGCCAGGCACTATCCAAGGAGCTTGGGTTACAGGAGTGACAGGCATCTCTTGCCCTTATGAAGCTTACTTTTATTCAAGTGGGAGAGATAAGAAGGGTGTAAAACTGGCCGGGTGCTGTGGTTCAGCACTTTGGGAGGCTGAGGTGGGCAGATCACCTGAGGTCTGGAGTTCAAGACCAGCCTGACCAACATGGAGAAACCCCGTCTCTACTAAAAATACAAAAAAATTAGTGCCTGTAGTCCCAGATACTCGGAGGCCGAGGCAGGAGAATTGCTTGAGCCCAGGAGGCATAGGTTTCGGTCAGCCAAGATCATGCCACTGCACTCCAGCCTGGGCAACAGAGTGAGACTCCGTCTAAAAAACAAAAAAGAAGGGTGTAAAAAAATGGCTAAGATAATTGTTGGTGCTAACAACTGCAATGAAGGTGGTAAAGCAATGTAGGGAGGAAACTTTTCAGGGTAGCAGGAGAGGCCTCGTTGAGAAGGTAACCTTTGAATTTTTAGCTGAATGAAGAGAAAATGCAGTTGTGGGAACATCTGGGAAAAGCACTTTTCAAACAGTTGAGGAGGGATAACAGTAGTCATGTGTCTTACGAAAGTCACGTGGACTCCAGTGCACAGAGAAGAGAGGCTGGCCTTAGACATGGATGCATGTCTGGCCTAAGACAGACAGGCATGGCACTGACTGTGGTTTAAGGGACTGGATGGTGTGACAATGGAGACATTCTGGATGAAGTATGAGGTGCGACCAACATCTGATAGCAAGGGGAGTGGGGACACTGGAGTTTTTTTTTTTTTTTTGGAGACAGAGTCTTGCTCTGTGGCCCAGGCTGGAGTGCAGTGGCGCGATCTCGGCTCACTGCAACCTCCGCCTCCCGGGTTCAAGCGATTCTCCTGCCTCAGCCTCCTGAGTAGCTGGGATTACAGGCGCCCGCCACCACACCCAGCTAATTTTTGTGTTTTTAGTAGAGGCAGGGTTTCGCCATGTTGGTCAGGCTGGTCTCGAACTCCTGACCTCGTGATCTGCCTGCCTCAGCCTCCCAAAGCTGGGATTACAAGCGTTTGAGCCACCATGCCCGGCCTGGTACTGGAGATTTGAGAAGAGGGGGAAAGAGAAGAGACCAGGGCAGCATGGAAGGATTATATGACTTTGTTGAATTCCTGTTTCATACTTGTGGTTTTACATTTGAGATGTATCCAGTTACCCTGGTTGTGCAACTTTTCTCAGGCTAATTTCAGCTGCTCTGGGGAGGATATGGAGTAAATAATATCTGGGAATTCTAGACAAATGTGACTGTGGGGAAGAGGACCAACCTAAGAAAACGATGTTTGCAAGGGAATGGTTTTTGAGCTGTATCATGGAAGCTAGGCTGGGTAAGGAGGACATTCTTGGGGTGATAAATAGTAAAAAACTGGTAGAGCAAATGGACCAGAGGGCTCAGTGCAGGAGGATATTTGATATAGGGTGAGAACTAGAGTAAATTAGATGAAATGAGTGGAAAGCGATGTTCAGACATGGACTTTTAAAATCGAGGATTTATAAGTGGTAACAGTAACCATAATAAGAATAACTGTTATTGAATATTTCAAATGTGACAGGCAATGTACTGGGAGGTTTATATTCACGAACTCATTCAAACTATACAACGGCTTTTGGAGTTAGAATCACAGATAGACTCATTTTATAGAAGAAACTGCTGCAGAATGAGACATTAACTAACTTAAGTCATATAGAGAGAAAGTGTCTGGGCCACTTTACAAAGTGATAAGCAGATCTAGAGTGTGACAATGTAGGTGAGTGGCTAAAGTGGAGTGTGAGAAAATATTATTGCAGCAAAAGAAGAAGATGTGGACAGGAGAACTACGGTGAAGAATAAATCATTCAAGTAGATTTTAACATGAACGAGAATTATGAGAGGCATTGCAGTGGCGGAAAGAAAGACAGCTAGGTACTCATATTCATCAGTACTGAGGGCAATTAGCTAGGAGGTTGACACCTACCAATAGGAGGAGTAACGGGTGGAAACTTCTGATCACCTGAGTTTCAAGGGATCTAGGGGCTTTGAAGGACAGAGGAGAGGTGGTTTAGAAGTGGCAATGAAGGACCAGGAGCTGTGGCTCACACCCGTAATTCCAGCACTTTGGGAGGCCAGGTGGGCAGATCACGAGGTCAAGAGATCAAGACCATCCTGGCTAACATGGTGAAACCCCGTCTCAACTAAAAATACAAAAATTAGCTGAGTGTGGCGGCGCGTGCCTGTAATCCCAGCTACTCAGGAGGCTAAGGCAGGAGAATTGCTTGAACCCAGGAGGCGGAGCTTGCAGCGAGCTGAGATCATGCCGTTGCACTCCAGCCTGGGCAACAGAGTGAGACTCCATCTCAAAAAAAAAAAAAAAAAAAAAAAAAAGAAGTAGCAATGAAGAGCAAGGAAAACCTAGCCTACCTCTAGGGTCTGAGGCATTTGGAGATGTGGGAACCAAACAACTTCCTCTTAAAAAGGCCACGGGAAAAGCAGGGACCTCAGGGTACAGCAAGGTTTTGGTTAGTGCTAGGAAGTGAGGAAAATGTTCAGAGAAGAGTTTGAAGATATTGGAGAGTTCTTGGCACAAAGGAAAGATTTGGGAGGGTGACTGATGGGTCAGATTGGGGAAAGTATAGATATGTATGGATGAACTGGTGGGGACATCTGTGTAATGATACATGGCCTGAGGCTTGGACTTCTTATGGGGTTCAGGAGAATGAAGATGGGGGTGTGATGGGCAGGGACTGAGCCACTGGATGGAGACTGGGGATAGGGCTTGCTTATGGCCTGCGTCCCGGGCATAAATATTGGTTCTACCATAGACCAAGTGGTTGACTTTGGGCAAGCCATTTAAACTCAGTTCTCTCATTTATAAGCTGTTTAATAATATCTACATTTCATGAGTGTAATTAGGATGAGAGATTATAAGTGACTAGCACAGATTGAGCACCCAAAAAGAATTAACTAGAACTGTGAAGATGATGATGATGATAATGATGATGATGATTTATGATGTAATATTCTAAAAACTCATCAATGTCTCTTTCTTTTCTTTTTTTTTTTTTCCTTTTGAGACAGAGTTTTGCTCTTGTTGCCCAGGCTGGAGTGCAATGGCACGATCTCGGCTCACTGCAACCTCCGTCTCCCAGGTTCAAGCAATTCTCCTGCCCCAGCCTCCCGAGTAGCTGGGATTACAGGCATGCGCCACTATGCCTGGCTAGTTTTGTATTTTCAGTAGAGACGGGGTTTCTCTATGTGGGTCAGGCTGGTCTCGAACTCCCGACCTCAGGTGATCTGCCCGCCTCGGCCTCTCACAGTGCTGGGATTACAGGCGTGAGCCACCGCACCCAGCCAACATCTCTTTATTTTCTACCGTATTTCTTGCTAATATGTCCAACTTTGTGGAACCACACTGTGTTAGGATTTGGAGCTCTGGCAGCCTTAGAAAATATCTGGGGGGAAAATACAGTTGAGTTAAGCAGTAGGAGAGCAGCAATAGCAAATAAAGTTTATATGAGAAAATAGTATGGGCATTCTAAGGGATGAGAAGCCAGACAAATGGAGACAGGAAAGAGCTTCCTCTGGAATCAGAGCAGGCAGTATTGAAAAGCTGGAAAAAATGGACTTGCTCCATACACATAACTTCTGGCATCTCATGCCTGAAGCCTTCAGCTACAGAAATGCTAAGAAATAACAATGAAAAGACGTGCGGGGCTTGAAGGATGAGTTACCCTCAGTGTTACTGCGGTCTTGCTTCTTCGTCTTCCCCAGTGCCAAGCACGAAGAAGAAACAGTCATGGACTGGCTTGTAAGGTAGCCCTCGGCCCCCAGCACCCTTGCTCTCTCCCACACATACATGTTTTTTTTTTTTCATAGGATTAAGTAGGCCAAAGAAGAAATAATTTTTGCTTCAAGAGATTATTGATATTTTTGCTAATATATTTTTAGCTCTTTTTCTCTCACACAAAGCTTTCCATCCTACATTACCTGAATGGCCCATTCAACATGATGCTGATAACAGTATAAGTAGAAAAACAGAAGCAGAAAGATACTTGGGCTTAAAGGCAGGATGTCATGGTTTGAATTCTGGCTTTGCCATTTAGGAGATTGTGGTCCTTGAGAAAGTTTTTTTTTTTTTTTTTTTGAGACAGAGTTTCACCTTGTCACCCAGGCTGGAGTGCTATGACGTGATCTCGGCTCACTGCAACCTCCATCTCCTGGGTTCAAGTAATTCTCCTGCCTCAGCCTCCCGAATAGCTGGGACTACAGGTGTGTGCCACCATGCCTGGCTAATTTTTGTGTTTTTAGTAGAGACGGGATTTCACTATGCTGGCCAGGCTGGTCTCGAACTCCTGACCTCGGGTGATCCACTACCTCAGCCTCCTAAAGTGCTGGGATTACAGGGATGAGCCACCATGCCCAGCCTTGAGAAAGTTCTTTATCCCCTTTGTGCACTAATTCCTGTGAGTGGAAAATAATTATATGCCTCGGAGCCTGTCATATTAACAGAGAGAGTGGACAAGAGAGGATCTATAAATTTAAGAGTACATAATATCTGAAAATGTTTGTTTATTTATTTTGAGATTTATTTTGAGATGGAGTCTCACTCTGTCACCCAGGCTGGAGTGCAGTGGCGTGATCTCAGCTCACTGCAACCTCTGCTGCCTCCTGAGTTCAAGAAATTCTCTGCCTCAGCCTCCCGAGTAGTTGGGATTACAGGCGCCCGCCACCACACCCAGTTAATTTTTTGTATTTTTAGTAGAGATGGGGTTTCACCATCTTGGCCAGGCTGGTCTTGAACTCCTGACCTCGTGATCCACCCACCTCGACCTCCCAAAGTGCTGAGCCACCATGCCCTGCATGAAAATGTTTATTTTTATACATGTGTATAAAGATGTATAAATACATATAATAATGAAATATAAATTGTTGAATGTAAAAATGAATAGTAATCACTGGCCACCAAAGTGCAGTGATTTCTATGTAGCCTAAAGTGATGGCAGAGTTGGTATTTTCTTTTCCAGTGGCACAGATAATAGGTTTCTTTGATATATAATGTATGTGCCAGAAGTAGAAATAGGAAAATACTTACACTTGCCAACAAAGTAACAACAAACAAGCTAGTATGAAGATGGAAATGGAGATCAAATAACTCAGAAAATAAGGAAAGGAGTAAATAGAGAAAAATCAGAATCCTGGGAAAATTCATGGAAAAACAGAACATTAATGGCAAAAGAAAAGAAGGAAGGAGATGCATACTGCAGAAAGAAGAGACCACAAAACAGTCTGGCACAGTGAGAGGAGAGAGCATGTCTAAGAGAAATGGAATGAAGCCAGTGGAAGCGGGACTCATGAAAGAAAAACTACTGGAACAGAATAATTGGGTAAGAATAGGAAAACCAGTGAAAGCGGTTCAGAACAAGGATTAGAGGTAAAAAGACATTTTAAAAATATTGTGCTAATATAATAAACAGCCTTAAAGGTGGAAATTAAAAATTTTTTTAAAACGTAGACTGTCAAGCATTCTTTTTACATTTTTCTTTTTTAAAGAAATCTGGAGCCCCTCTGATGATGCACCTGGATGAAAAGTTATTTATAGTATTGTCATCCACAAACATTGTTGCTATTTGATGTTTGGACTCTCTTGAGGTCAGAGAGTTTCATCAATTTTTAAATTTTTGTTTGATAATTTGGATGTAATTAGAGTATTGGGAATTACTTTAGATCAAATTTGCCTGTTCTGATTTGATCTAGTCGCCAATGATTTCAAAAGTCCTTGACTGCCAAGAGGAGATGCCAGCACATTTTTCCTGGCTTGGCGTTTCCTGAGTTTATCCCTCTTCGTAGACATAAATCTGGGATGGAGCCAAGCACGTCAAAGAGTCACATCTCTTTGCTCTCCCCGTGCAATATTTAATCACTGGACTTAGTGAAATCACTAAGATGAACTTATTGCAGCCAAGATCCAGAGATGGATGGCTGCTCCAAAGGGCAGTGCTTTGAAACTGTTTTTTACATGATGTCAGAAAGCGTTTTGACTAATGGTAGATTCTTAGAAGAGCATTCATTCCAGACTCTTTAGAGCTCTTTACCTAATTTCCCCTCATCTTTCAAGTCTCAGTTTAAATGTCACTTTATCCAGGAAGGATTTTCTGGTCCCCCTTGGCTAAGTTAGGACCACCTATTTTATGCTTCCTTAGCAGCCTGCTTTCTTAGTAATACACATCATTCTTACAATGACTGACTCAGCATAGAACTTCCCAGCCCCCTTATAAGCTCAACTATAAGATGCATAATATCAGACTCCGTGACTTGTTCAATGCTGAAACCCCAGCACTTAACACATCTGACTGGCAGATGGTCAGTCCTTAATAATATTGATTTAATGTATGAATTAGTAAGTGCATGAGCAACTAAATGAATAGATACAGAAGAAAGATTTAATAGTGCTATGAATTACAAGGAAACTCTCCCATGCCCTTTTAATCACTTATCTCCCTGGCAGAGCTGTGAGGCCGATGACATAGGCAATATATGTCAGTCTTACAAATAGGGACATGGTTAAATGACCCCATTTTTATGTGGATCATAGGCTTCCTATCTTTGTGAAAAGGAAAATGTTTATTTCACAGAATTCATGTCAGTTCATTAGAATATATGATGACTGTAAACTATATATGTTCACTTTTATTTGACTTCCAACATACGAAAATCTCATATCAGTTCCTCATGATTGATTTCTCACTTTCTTTTTTTTGGAGATGGAGTCTCACTCTGTTGCCCAGGCTGGAGTGCAGTGGTGCAATTCCAGTTCACTGCAACGTCTGCCTCCTGGGTTCAAGTGATTCTTCTGCCTCAGCCTCCTGAGTAGCTGGGATTACAGGCGCATACCACCACGCCCAGCTAATTTTGTATTTTTATCAGAGATGGGGTTTCACCATGTTAGCCAGGCTGATCTCGAACTCCTGGCCTCAGATAATCCGCCCACCTTGGCCTCCCAAAGTGCTGGGATTACAGGTGTGAGCCACTGCACCCTGCCTGATTTCTCACTTTCTAAGTTTAGTTTGATGTTAGGTCAGGTATGCTGCCTTTTAACCAGCACACAAAGAAAAGAGGGCTGAACTTTCATAAATCCCGAAGGATCCTGAGGACCTTCCAGATTGATACAAAGGACCAAGGTTTAGGATACTTGGATAAAGCCAGAGTTTATTCAGTGAAGCTTCTTTGAACATGAACAGAAGAGAAAATTGAAGAGATTGAGAAGAGTCATTGTTATCATCAAACCAGGCAACCAATTATATTGCCTAGAAATCTTGGCAGATGCTAGAATTTTCAGTCACAAATAAATATCTGAATATCTGGTGGAAACCATCAACTTGACTATGGAATAAAGTCCTTAGCACAGTGTACAAGATGCTCAGCGTCCTTAGAGCTTACCTTCTCATAATCAACTTATATTGATTCCAAGCATCCTGGAATCAGATCACATCAGATCAATACAACATGCATTTCTCTATTCCGAATCTTTGCAAGAACTCTTCATTTTCCCTTACAAATGGCTTTTTGCAATATCCTGTTCTCCAGAGAAACTCATCGTCCTTTAAGATTCATACTAAATACCTGGGTGCTGAGAAAAGGGTCATTCTAGGATTATTGGAGAGGTGCAATTTTAATTGGTTTATAAAGGATGCGACATATTTTCAGAGAGGACAAGGTACTTCAAATGGATAATCAATGAAACAATGAGACAAGGATCAAGTACCATGAAGAACGAGAAGAAAGACGGGAGCAGACAGGACATGATGAATGCTCAACTACAGAGGAATTGTTGTTTAGTAGCAAGACTGCTTAACAAACAGACAAATTGAAAAAAACAAAAAACTGACCCCATCATGGAATGACAGACCCTAATTAGAGATCTTTCTTGGCACTCTAAGCCTTGACTAGTAACAACTTTTTTTTTTTTGAGACGGAGTTTCACTCTTGTTGCCCAGGCTGGAGTGCAATGGCATGATCTCGGCTCACGGCAACCTCCGTCTCCCAGGTTCAAGCAATTCTCCTGCCTCAGCCTCCCTAGTAGCTGGGAATTACAGGCATGTGCCACCACGCCTGGCTAGGCTAGTAACATCTTGAGGTACTTAAAAGTGCTATAGCCAGGGACTTATAGTTAAAAAAAAAAAAAAATCTTGCCCCTTATTCCCTGGAAAGTCAGTGGCAACTTCCCAGAATGGCAACCTCAGGATCTCTCATGGTACTGAATCACCAAGTCCATATGATCTCTAGATTTAAACCTAAAACCTCCAGATCACCCCTTAAAAATACATAGCAACAAGTCTGAGAACAGGTGTGTGTTACCTACACACACCCTCCTCCCATCTCTCTGGCCTTATTGCACAAAATCCCTATTTTGTCTCCTGGATATGGGAGAGGGATTCAGGAGCCTCATTCAAGGACAGTCCTGTGGACTGAAAGTCTTTGATGAGAGCATGACTGAGAGAAGCTGGTGTCTGCCTGGATAGCTGGGTGCAAACTGTCATATATCAAGCAACGAACTTAAGTTGTTATTAGGCGACAGATTCCCTATCTCCAAGGCCAAAGTAAATTGTGTTCACAAGATCGGAAAATCTCCTAAGTCAACTATTAAACCCATCTCTAGGAGGAAGAAGTTATCTGGGATAAGGTACTTCTTCTTTGGAAGTTTTTCCATCCTCAGAATAGACATGCAAGAAAAGCTTCATGTATTTTCAGTTGATGGTGTCTTGAATAAAATGAACAAAAGACAGACATAATTTTTAGAAGGCAAAATTTCCATTCCATTCCTTTCCAGACAGGCTTTTACTGAAAACATTGATCATAAAGCCACCAGCCTTAGTTTTCTAAACTTCAGAATTTAAAATAAACAACTATCAGCCTCCTCTCTGTCTCTCTTTTTACCCTTCCTACTGAGGAAAGTTAAATAGTACATTCTTTCCCACTAAACCAGAAGCAACATAACACAGAAATTCTACTCACAGCTTTAAAATAAATTACTGGATACAAAAATAACAATAACAATCCTTTGGTTCAGCCAACCAATCAAATGTTTTGCATGATTAAAACATGAACACTGCCAAATCCCAGATTTAAAAGAAACATTTAGATGCTATTAGAATTTCCATTTCATAAAGTAAATCCAGTATGCTAGCTTTTATCTCCAGCAACTGAAGCTTTTCTCAACAGCCATTACTACGGATCTGTGCAGGGTCAGCCTCTCATCATTTCGTGACTAAAGTATTGTTTTTTCATTCCAGTGTGGAGTCCCGTCTCCAATCTTTCATCTTTCCCATTTTTTTTTAAGAGACAAGATTTCTCTATATTGCCCAGACTGATTTTGAACTCCTGGGCTCAAGGAATCCTCCCGCTCAGCCTCCTGTGTTGCTGCGACTACAGGCTCATACCACTGGCCCTGGTTCCACTTTCACTCTTAGTTTCATTAATCAATACAGAACAATGGCTACCTACCTTAAATTTCGTGAAGTCTGGATGTGAAGGCTGTTGATTCTCTACACTTCATGCTGTTGAACATCCTCACTCCGTGCCTCCAGCCCCCACACCTTCCTGTCCCCACACCAGTGCCTTTCCACATATCTAGGGCACAATCACCTACACACTCCTGCTCATGTCTTTCTCTGGTCCACCATGTCTGTAATGCTCCTGCCTCCACTCAGAAGCCTTCCCCGGGAAAGAAACTGGTTCTGATCACTTCTTTCTTATTTCTTGTGCAATTGTTATTCATTCTTTTTTCTTATATTTTACTCAATGTCAATGCTTTTCTTCTCTCTTCCAGTCACTTTATGTTTATGTTTGCCACATGGATTAGTTTCTAAAAGTTTTTGATTTTTAGTTTGTGTGGGTACATATTAGGTGTATATATTTATGGGGTGCATGAGATGTTCTGACAGGCATGCAATTCATGATAATCACATCATGGAAAATGGGGTATCCATCCCTCAAGCATTTATCCTTTCTGTTACAAACAATCCAATTATACTCTTTTAGTTATTTTTAAATGTACAATTAAATTATTATTGACTATAGTCACCCTGTTGTGCTATCAAATAGCAGACCTTATTTATTCTTTCTAAGTATACGTTTTGTACCCATTAGCCATCTCCACCTCCCCCTTTACCCCCACTCCCCTTCCTAGCCTCTGTAACAATTAAGAGACCTATTGATTTCAAAATAGTTTTTTTCTAAATATGTAGGTATACCGTATACCTTCTAAACATAAATTGGTTGACGACGCTGGCTCCGCGGCGATCTCCAAAGCTCTTCTATGCCATTATTTTCAAACTTTACTGACGAACATCAAAGAACACCACAGACTAATTTTTCTCATCTCTCTTTTCCTATCATTCTCTAAAACAAATTTTAATAAGACAAATCAGATAAAAAGGAAGCACAACAACACACGGTGGAAATATTGAGGAGGAGATGAGCTTTCCACATTCCACGTCCTAGGATAAATTAATCCATAAATATTGAGCTCTAAAAACAAACCTTAGTCATCAGCACATTTTCCATGTTCTGATCCTCTGGAGTAGAGATTCCCACCTCCAACAGCTCTCAGGTGGATTCTGTGATCACGCATCTTCACCCCGCCCTCTCTCCCTGCCGTGTTTCTCCTTCCTGCCTGCCACCCTGAGCGCCTCCATCATGGCACCCTCATCTGTAGGTTTCTGCTGTGCACAGCGCTCTTTGCTGCTTGTTCAGGGGCTCTACCTCCAGCATCCTCTGACCCCTCGCACTGTAAGGGCAGGCACAAGGGGCTTTTGAGGGACTTTTCGCTGTAGGGTTGAAAGGCAGTCAAGCATGATATCAACCGAGAGTGAGTTAAGCATTCTACACAGTCAACTTGGATAATTGACAATGAAGAATCTATTGGGTCTAGATTTTCTTTTTGGGGGTTTGGGGACCACAAAACGTATTTTTATATTGAGGGACGAGAGCAGAAAAGAAAGCAGCCCCTATGGTAGGCCCTATTCAGTGGCAGCTTCTTGTTCCATAGGGTTAAGGAAGACTTTGAGGAAATAAAGGTTGTTTGGAAAAATCCCGGTGTGATTGTTTCGCACGCGTGATGGGTAGAAAGGATGAAGTGTGAAGGCCCCTCGCCCCCTGCATCCTGCCTTAGATTATGTTCTGAAACCCTCGGGTGGAGAAAGCGCTATTTTCATCCCTGCTTCCTGGGATTGCTGATGGCCACAGAGCGATAGAGAACGACAAAGGAGAAGTGCGGCACGCCTGGCATGCTGGCCAAGATGGCGAGCTGTGCGTCCCTGGTCATCCTGATCAGCTTGGTGGGGTGCCCATGCTGTCTGCGCACAAGCTCTCCATCTAGATTTTCTAACCAGTCTCTCAATCATCTGGATGATGTCAAATAATTGTGTCAACATCAACTTGACTTTGAGTGGGAGGCACATCACTAGGTTGTATGGAGTTTTTAGTCTAGTAACAAAACCCACTGCCCTCCTCCAAATCAGATCAGCTTCTCTGTCCATCTACAGCCTGTACTATTTCATCCATGTACCAGTATCACCATGAAGTCATCATGATTTCCCATCCTCCCTATTAGTTTGTTAATTCTGGAAAACTAAAGGAAGGGCAGTCTTCTTTGAGAAAAATTCTCACATTCTTTCCCTGGTCCTCCAAAAACCCATACTAGTGGACCTCTGTACAAGCTGCTTTTAATCATACTTCTCCCATTCCAAGCTTGCTTTATCACTTCCTTCCGTCTCCCAAACAACTTTGAATTCCAAACTTTCACCAGAAAACGTTCGGGTCAAATAAAAGATGTGATTACTTATTCTCATGCAATCTCATCCTGGTTCAATAAATGCTACGCTTTCATCTTTTTTTTTTCCATTCCATAAATGTTCTTTTACTTAGATATAAGTTAATTGTAGCATTTATTTATTTTGTTTTGTGATCCATTCATAGAGTTCACAGGGCATTCATCCGTTTCAATATCAGTTCCCTGTCTTAGGTTACGGCAATCTCCCTAGCAAAAAGGTATGCTACAATAAATCTTGAAAAACTGCCAAGTGCCAGGCACTGTACTGGCTGCTTTTATATATAGGCATTATCACCTTGGTTTCCATTGAATGGGACTATGTTCTTTTTTTTCTTTTTCTTCTTCTTCTTTTTTTTTTTTTTTTTTTTTTTTTGAGTCATGGTCTTACTCCGTCATCCAGGCTGGAGTTCAGTAGTGTCATCACAGCTTACTACAGCCTCAAACTCCTGGGCTCAAGCAATCCTCCTGCCTCAGCCTCCTGAGTAGCTAGGTCTACAGGTTCATACTGCCATGTCAAAGTAACTTTCTAAAATTTTTTTTTGTAGAGATGGGTCTTGCTATGTTTCCCAGGCTTGTCTCAAATTTCTGGCCTCAAGCTATCTTCCTGTCGTGGCCTCCTTAAGTGCTGGGATTATAGGCATGAGACATCGTGCCCTGCCCATGCATTTCTATTTACATGGTACCATGTTCAATAAATCACTGAAGACAGAAGTATACTCAATCCTCTTTTGGGTTAGAAAGAGAATGATATGGTAAGGATGATGATACACTTTATTAAAGCAAAACTACCAACAACAGCAATCAAAACACAGCAATAGATCATCCCTTTCAGAATAAAGGAAGCATCTTTCTAGACAAAAACAGACGTTCTTTTTTTTCTTTTTTGAGACGGAGTCTCGCTCTGTCGCCCAGGCTGGAGTGCAGTGGCGTGATTTCAGCTCACTGCAAGCTCTGCCTCCCAGGTTCACGCCACTCTCCGGCCTCAGCCTCCCGAGTAGCTGGGACTACAGGCGCCCGCCACCACGCCTGGCTATTTTTTTTTTTTTATTTTTAGTAGAGACGGGGTTTCACCGTGTTAGCCGGGATGGTCTCAGTCTCCTGACCTCATGATCCACCCACCTCGGCCTCCCAAAGTGCTGGGATTACTGGCATGAGCCACCGCTCCAGGCCTCAGAAGTTCTTTTAGTGAGTAGGCCGTGAATATCCTCAGGGAATATTGTTTTGTTTACTTGTGACACAAGTAAAGCTGATAGAAGCCCTCAGCCCTCAGCCCTCACACACACACACACACACACACACACACACACACACACACACACACACATTTTTTGGAGTCTCGCTCTGTCACCCAGGCTGGAGTACGGTGCCACAATCTCAGCTTATTGCCACCTCTGCCTCTCAGGTTCAAGCAATTCTCCTGCCTCAGCTTCCAGACTAGCTGGGATTACAGGTGTGCAACACCATGCCTGGCTAATTTTTGTATTTTTAGTAGAGATGGGGTTTCATCATTTTGGCCAGGCTGGTCTCAAACTCTTGACTTCAAGTGATCTGCCTGCATCAGCTTCCCAAAGTGCTGGGATTACAGACATGAGCCACCGCGCCTGGCCACATATATATGTTTTTAAGGTGGGGGTCTCCCTCTGTTGCCCAGGCTAGTCTCAAACTCCTGGTCTCAAAGAATGCCCCTGCCTCAGCCTTCCAAGTAGCTGAGACTACAGGTGCCCAGCTTTCCTCCTTGTTTCATACTCCTCACTGCTTTAAGCAAAACACAGAAAGGGGAATGAACAGAGCAATAGGCCTCAGTTTCTCAGGGGCCAGCTACCCTCAGAGCCCCTGCTTTTGTGTTTCAAGGCTAACAGAGAAATAATTTTCCCCAAAGCCTTTGTTAATGGAATTATTTATGTCTTGTTCACCTTTCTTTTTTCTTTTCTTTTTTTTTTTTTTTTGCTGAGACAGAATCTTGCTCTGTCGCCCAGGCTGTAGTGCAGTGGTGCGATCTTGGCTCACTGCAACCTCCGCCTCCCAGGTTCCAGTGATTCTCCTGCTTCAGCCTTCTGAGTAGCTGGGATTACAGGCATGTGCCACCACGCCCGGCTAATTTTTGTATTTTTAGTAGAGACAAGGTTTCACCATGTTGGTCAGGCTGATCTTGAACTCCTGATCTCGTGATCCTCCTGCCTCAGCCTCCCAAAGTGCTGGGATTACAGGCGTAAGCCATCGCGCCCGGCCTTGTCTTGTTCACCTTTCAACATGTCTTTCTTCTCCCTTTGCCTCTGCATTCTCCCCCTCTATCCTATTCACTCCTTTCTCTAAAGTTGGCCATAAAAGACTTTGCATCTTGGTTTTGGGACCAGAGTCACATCAATTCCAAGCACAGCAGGCAGGCTCCAAGCCTATTGCCAAGGGGAGGCTGACAGAAGCAAGGCCGTCTCTATGTAGGAGACAAGCACACAAGGGGAAGCCAATATTTCAGCCCTGGAGGGGCGAGTGTTGGCTCCAAGGTGACGGATGGCAGATTCCACAGCTGCTAAACACCACAGAGCCGGGTAGAAATTGCACCTGCTGCTTGGAGATGGCACTTTGCATATTTCAGTTGGACCTTCATTCTCCCCTTCTTTTGCCATTGAAGCCAGTGATCAGTGGTGGGATCCAGATATTTTAGATTTATGCAAGTGCTCTGTGGTCTCCGGGGAAACTGATGCCAATTCAATTAAACCCATCACGTGATATTCAGCCTCTATGAGGCACTTGTAACTGAACTAAGTACACTGGAGAAGGGAAGACACAAAATAAGCAAATGATGTCATCTCTAACTTTCAAGATTATGATACAGATTACAGACAATATAATAAAATTCTGTGATATGCAACAGACACCCAGTAAAAAAGAGTTTGAAAATCTCAATGATATATATGTGAACTAGGCTTATTCACTTTTTAGATACAGAGGGAAATATTGCCATGTGCCCTACAAAATGTGTAGGTAGAAAAAGAGGTATAGGCCGGGCGTGGTGGCTCACGTCTGTAATCCCAGCACATTGGGAGGCCGAGGTGGGCAGATCACCTGAGGTCAGGAGTTTGAGACCAGCCTGGACAACATGGTGAAACCCCATCTCTACTAAAAATACAAAACTTATCTGGGTACGGTGGCGCATGCCTGTAATCCCAGCTACTCGGGAGTCTGAGGCAGGAGAATCGCATGAACCTGGGAGGAGGAGGTTGCAGGGGACGAGATCGAGCCACTGTACTCCAGCAGTCTTACTCTGTCCAGTGGTGACAGAGTAAGACTTCGTCTCAAGAAAAAGAAAAAGAAAAAGAGGTAAAGGAGTGAGAACTAAGTTTCGCTTCCCAAACACGGGGCTGTGATTGTAAGTACCTTTTACAAAAAACCTTATTCCAGATAACCCAATGGGTAAATAACAGGCAAACGGGGAGGAGGCCTGATGGAATTGCTCTCTGCCAACAGGAATACTTGGGATCATAGGCCTCGAAGTTGAATACAATTGGCTTCCAGATTGTGTCTAAATTACTTCACATCTCTGAGGCTCTGTTTCCTCATCTGTGAAAGAGGCGAAAACCATACCTCATAGTACTGCAGTGAGAATTAAATGAAATAAAGGCTGCCAGGGTAGCCCATTGTCTGCCACACTGTGATTACTCTAGCAGTAACACAGCCCAGGAGTGAAAGAGGGATGAGAAGGAGGCCAGTTTAAGATGCAGCACTTCTGAAAATATAGAGACTTGTGTTCAAGAGCTCACTTGGTGATCAGTTCATCGGGTGGCAGTGGGCAATTCACATCACCTCTCTGGGGATCAGTTTCTCATTCTGGAAAATACAGGATTAGTCTTATAGGATTAGCCTATAGGGAAGTGTCCTTTTCAGCTTCAACCTTCCGAGATTCTTCA
Source organism: Homo sapiens (assembly GCF_000001405.40). NCBI lineage: Eukaryota > Metazoa > Chordata > Mammalia > Primates > Hominidae > Homo > Homo sapiens. The sequence goes on from NC_000001.11 coordinate 240,716,180, forward strand.
AGTTGATGTCATCATCCCTGGAATTCTCCCCTCCAGCCAGGTGTCGATAGGGTTACTGGGGGAATCATTGAAATCTTTCTGAAATTGCAAGACTTCACTCATCTCCTGACTCTAATGAGAATTTAGTTCTGTTTTCCTGAGGGGAAGAAAACACTGCAGTCTTTCCTAATCTCCTCACATTCTGCTGTGTGACCAGGCAAGCATTATTATTACTATTCTTCGCTGTCTCTGCATATTATTAAACTGATGCCAAATTCAACTTGGCATTTCCAAAAAAAGAGTTTCTGAAATGCAGACTGCTTTGGGATGTAAGATTTTTATGCAAATACAAAACATTAATATATTTCAAAACTTGAAGCACTTTGCTCTCCAGGAGAGAAAGAAGCTTATTTTCAGATGCTCAATTCAGCGTTTACTTAATAAGTGTTTAAAGTTGTAAGGCAGATTCTTTAACTCCTCCCTTTAGCTTTTTCTCTTTCTTTCTTTCTTTCTCTTTCTTTCTCTTTCTCTCTCTCCTTCCTTCCTTCCCTCCCTTTCTCTCCTTCCTTCCCTCCCTTTCTTTCCTTCCTTCCTTCCTTCCTTCCTTTTCTTTCTTTCTTTTTCTTTCTTTCATTCTTTCTCTCAACATTTTCGCTCTTGTTGCTCAGGCTGGAGTGCAATGGCGTGATCTTGGCTCACTGCAACCTCCGTCTCTGGGGTTCAAGTGATTCTCCCACCTCAGCCTCCTGAGTAGCTGGGATTACAGGTATGAGCCACCACGCCTGGCTAATTTTTGTATTTTTAGTAGAGACAGGGTTTCAACATGTTAGCCAGGCTGGTTTTGAAATCCTGATCTCAGGTACTCTGCCCGCCTCAGACTCCTAAAGTGCTGGGATTACAGGCGTGAGCCACCATGCCGGCCAGAATTCGCTTTTTCTAAAAGCTGGTTGTGAGGAGCAAGCTTCCATTTAATGGCCTCAAGGTAAAACTAATTATGGAGTATGGAGGAGGAGGTGCGTAAGAGATGTGGTCCTACCTGTTACCATAGCAACTGCATATATTCTTCTTTTCCTCTTCTTCCCCATCAACTCTATGAAATAGCTTTTTGATTTATGTTGCCAAACCTCCAGAAACATTGTGGCATTTTGCCTTGCCAGAAGTAGGTAAACAGAGTCCATAAACCTGGAGAAGACCAACTTTTTTCCTTGAGAAAGTTGGAGAATGGAGCAAAAATTAAATTAAGAGAAAACAGGAAATTTTATGTGTCCCCTGAGATTCTGTCAAAAGATTGATGCTCATCACCAACTCATACAGCTGGATGCAATGTGTGAGTGCAGAGGGGAAATGGAGGGAGGTTTGCATAAACTCTGAAAATTGGACTTGGGTTTAAAATTCAGTCCAAAATAAAAATGTACCTTGGAGTAACTCAATCTGAACTGGTGTTCTCGTGTAATACAAAAAGTTTATTTATTTATTTATTTATTTATTTATTTTTTGAGATGGAGTCTTGCTCTGTTGTCCAGGCTGGAGTGCAGTGGTGCGATCTCAGCTCACTGCAAGCTCTGCCTCCTGGGTTCACGCTGTTTTCCTGCCTCAGCCTCCCGAGTAGCTGGGATGACAGGTGCCTGCCACCATGCCAGGCTAATTTTTTGTATTTTTTAGTGGAGAAGGGGTTTCACTGTGTTAGCCAGGGTGGTCTCAATCTCCTGAACTCATGATCCGCCCACCTCAGCCTCCCAAAGTGCTGGGATTACAGGTGTGAGCCACCACGCCCAGCCAAAAAGTTTATTTTTAAATAAAATTTATTAATATATTTAATTAACTAGTTTTTGTTTGTTTGTTTGTTTTTGTTTGTTTGTTTGTTTTCTGAGGGAAACTCTCTCTGTTGCCAAGGCTGGAATGCAGTAGCCCCATCTCAGCTCACTGCAACCTCTGCCTCCTGGGTTTAAGTGATTCTCCTGCCTACCAGCCTCCCCAGTAGCTGGGATTACAGCTGGGTGTCACCATGTCCAGCTAATTTTTGTATTTTTAGTAGAGACAGGGTTTTACCATGTTGGCCAGGCTGGTCTTGAACTCCTGACCTCGGGTGATCTGCCTGCCTCCGCCTCCCAAAGTGCTGGGATTACAGGGATGAGCCACTGAACTTGGCCTATTTAGCTGATTTTGAAAATAATATATAGTCATTATAGAAGACTTCTGTGAAATAGAAAAACAAAAAGAAAAAGGCACTGTGTAATCCCGACATCTCGAAATAACATTTCATTGATAGACTTCTGATATAACATAGGCATATATTTCAAATTATGATTATATAACAGTTAGATATAACCCATATATTTAATATAGATTTAAATTTACATTATTTTTCTTTCTTTCTTTCTTTTCTTTTTCTTTCTCTCTCTCTCTCTCTCCTCCCTCCCTTCCTCCCTCCCTCCCTTCACTTCCTTTTGTATACAAATATTTTCATTTTTTTCTCATTGTATTATGACGTGATTTTCAGTAAAATATTAAGGTAGTAATATCAAGAACTCTTGTATTCTTCCTTATGCACTTAGGTTGGCTCTATTGCTTTTACTATTCCATGTGAGCTTGGCTATTATTTAATTTCTTAATGCTTTATCATATTAAGAAAATATGCTTTTGTTATGGTTTATGAAGATATATTTTAGAATTATGAATAGATATTGAATTTAATCTAAAGAGTTTTTTCATCTTTCAAAGTGAGCATATGATTTGTCTGCTTTGATTTATTGATGTGATGGGAAATAGGCATATATTAAATAATATTGAACCATCGTTGTGTTTTTCATTAAATTATACTCACATTTTTATTATAGTACCTAAGAATCCTGATGTTTGCAGCTATGTTCATAAAGAATGCACAGTTCTCAAACATTGTAATAAAGTTAAAATGCCTTTTGCTCCTGCTGTATTAAGTGAAAGAAAAGCAGATTGCAGGATGATTTATCTATTTATTATATGATCCCACTTTCCTTTTTAAAAAATCCCTATAACATGAATATACGTACATAAATCTAGGAAAAAGTAGGGAAGGATGCATATCAAACCATTAACTTTGCTTGCTAAGAGAGAACTAGAAAGTAGAAGGGGGACTATATTCATGTATTTCATATACTTCTATATTGTTTGAATTGAATGAATATGTGACTTTGTGTATTACTTCTATAATAAAAAAGCACAACATATTCATTTAAGAAGGATAAAATTAAGACCTGATGGGGTGGCTCACGCCTGTAATCCCAGCACTTTGGGAGGCCAAGGTGGGCAGATCATGAGGCCAGGAGATTGAGACCATCCTTTCCAACGTGGTGAAACCCCATCTCTACTAAAAATACAAAAATTAGCTGGGTGTGGTGGTGCATGCCTGTAATCCCAGCTACTCAGGAGGCTGAGGCAAGAGAATCACTTGAACCCAGGAGGCAGAGATTGCAGTGAGCCGAGAGTGTGCCACTGCACTCCAGCCTGGCGACAGAGCGAGACTCCGTCTCAAAAAAAAAAAAAAAAAAAAGAAGGGCAAAATTAAATAAAATACTCACAACAACTTCATTTCTCCCCACTAAAGTCTCCCAAATTCAGTTCTATTCTGACACTTCTTGCTAAAAAAATATTTAAAATAAAGCTTATTTTCCTTCAATCCAAACCTCTAAGATAGGTGGTATTACCATCGTTTTACAAGTCAAAAAAATGAATCGTTCCCTGTGTCTCCAGCCATAGATGTTGCTGGCATTTGTGTTCAAGGTTTTCCCATTGCAAATGCACTTTCTGCCATTCCACACCACCTAGACAGTCCTGCTGTGTTTCTCTCCACCATATGTAAGCCAGATTTTGTTTCTATTAACTTTCTATGACTATCTTAGGTCTTTCTCTTTTATCTGTCTTTGACACCATGGTCTAATGGTTTCAATCAAACAATCACATCCAGCACAATTTTATGGATAAAGGACAGAAAATTAGTCATCCTCTGCCTTCAGGACACACAGAAAAGCAGAATATCTGTCCACATAACAATAACTAAATTATAAGGGGTTTTCATATTCGTCCTCTCTTACCTATCCCTGTTTTCTGAGACAGAAGCGATAACTCTAAACTATGAGGGATTTCCATTCTTTCCCCAGACCCCCTGCTCACTCTTTCCCCTACTCCATAACTCCCAGGCTTTCCAGTGTGACCCTCCTTAATTGCTTTGACCTCACAATACCCCTCATTTGTTCTCTGGAGTATTGCCTTAGATCTGTGGATCACTTTGATTACTTCCACATCTGGGATTCGTCACATGCTTGTGTTAACCATGACCACGTGCAGAATTACCCAGCAGGATTTAGGAGACAGTCAGAAGAATCATCCCTACTAAGAACAACATCTGGAAGGAATTAAGAGAAGATACTTTCTATTGAGAATCCTTTGGAAATATATTTATGATGTAGAGACAGGCAGACAGTAGTGCCCAGGCAGAAGCGGATGTCCTTTCTCTCCGGAAGGCTGAGGAAGAGTGATACATCTTCAGAAGATTCGCGAATTAATTATGCTCCATAAACATAAATGCCTGGCAAGTTCACTAATAAACAAGGGATTTTCTCACAGTCTTGTTTAGAAGCAGGCGTCGTCTCCAACAGAAACGAACTTTTCTGATGCCATGTGTGTGAACAAATAAAGATTTTATAAAAAGGAGAGGGGAAGTGGGCCGCGTTTTCTTTAGTTGGATCATTGAATGTCTCCAACTATTTTTCCAAAGCTTTGGGTTTGGCAAAAGCCAAAATTAGCTTTGCCAAATATTTTTCCCTTAATTTTTAAATCCCTGTGCATTAACGAAAATGTAATCCGTATGTTTCTGATTCATTTACACTTAACTCATCAAAATTTTGTTTGTTAGAGTCATTTGGCCCTCTCAACAAGACGTAGGAGTCCTCTTTGCAGCACACAAATACTTAACACGTAGATTACATGAGCACACACACACATTTTTGGTTCTTTAGACTCCAGAGTCACTTTCTCTCTCTAAACCCAGATCCAAGTGGCTATGTGTTAGTAAATCGTGAGCATCTAATTGCATTTAGTTACACAATTACATTTAGACTTAAATAAATAAATGACTATGCAATTACAACACATACACTTCTTTGTATGATTTGGAATGAATCATTTCAGGCTTCCCTGCAATGGGTGCATATCTTGACTATGGGTGATCGTCTCCTTTAAGGAGTTGATGTCAGCCAGTTTAGTTTTCTATGGTACTTCAGTGCAATATACAATAAATATTGCATTAATTTCTAAACATTGAATTACAATCAGTTCAGAGGAGACCAATGATGATGATAAAGATGTAAGGAAAGGCAGACATGAGCATCTCTGTGGAGACTGGGTTGGAGGGAAGACGGGTTGTGTACATAAAGGCATAGAATTTGGGGAGGTTGTGGGAAGGTTTTGTTATCTTCTCAATGCCTGAGCATGAAGAAATGATTTGCTTGCAGCCCTAGATCATGGTAAACATTTCAGTAGAATTCCTAACATTAAGAGTTGGAAAATAGCTAGGTGTGGTGGCTCACACCTGTAATCCCAACACTTTGGGAGGTCAAGACAGGAGAATAGCTTGAGGCCAGCCTAGGCAACATGGTAAGACCCTGTCTCCACAAAAATAAGTTTTAAAAATTAACCAGCATGGTGGCATATGCCTGTAGTCCCAGCTACCTAGTAGGCTGAGGCCGGAGATGGCTTGAGCCCAGGAGTTCAAGGGTGCAATGAGACATGATCATGCTACTGCACGATAGCCTGTGCAACAGAATGAGACCCTGTTTCAAAAAAAAAAAAAAAAGAAAAGAAAAGAAAGAAAGAAAAGACAAGAAAAAAAGAGAAAAAGAGTTGGACAATATTAGAATTTTTTTTTTTTTTTTTAAGACAGAGTCCTGCTCTGTCGCCCAGGCTGGAGTGCAATGGCACAATCTCAACTCACTGCAACCTCCACCTCCCAGGTTCAAGCGATTCTTGTTCATCAGCTTCCCGAGTAGCTGGGACTATAGGCATGCACCACCATGCCTGGCCAATTTTTGTATTTTTAGTAGAGACAAGGTTTGGCTAGTGTTGGCCAGGCTGGTCTCGAACTCCTGACCTCAGGTGATCTGCCTGCCTCAGCCTCCCACAGTGCTGGGATTACAGTCATGAGCCAACGTGCTCAGCCACAATGTATTTTTTTTTTTTTTTTTGAGATGGAGTCTCACTCTGTCGTCCAGGTTGGAGTGCAGTGGGGTGATCTCCGCTCACTGCAAGATCCGCCTCCTGGGTTCACGCCATTCTCCTGCCTCAGCCTCCAGAGTAGCTGGGACTACAGGCGCCTGCCACCACGCCCGGCTAATTTTTTGTATTTTTAGTAGAGACTGGGTTTCACCGTGTTAGCCAGGATGGTCTCGATCTCTTGACCTTGTGATCCGCCCGCCTCGGCCTCCCAAAGTGCTGGGATTACAGGCGTGAGCCACTGCCTCCACCCGGCCAGAATGTATTCTTAAGAGATGTAACATCTCTTAAGATGTTGTTTTTTCTTTTTTTTAGAGACAGGCTCTTGCTCTGTCATCCTGGCTGGAGTGTAGAGGCATGATCATGGCTCATTACAGCCTTGACCTCCTGGGCTCAAGCAATCCTCCCTCCTTGGCCTCTCAAAGTACTGGGATTACAGGTGTGGGCCACCTCGCCCTGCCCCACGGCAACCACGAGAGATTTGGTGAGCTCGACTGTCATGTTTTGCAAATCCATATTGGAAGAAATAGTCTGTGATGGGTGACAGCATCTTTTACAAAAGGACATGTCTTTCCTATTGTTAACATGACGTCATCATTTGTTTTCCCTCACTTCTTCACGGTTACTAGTTTTCTCTTCTCACGGAAATATCAATGGTTTAATTGTAATTTTCTAATTTGACAGCAGGTAATCTTCCTTCCCGAAGCTGCCTTTTCACTGTAGACGATTTTGTCAGACTAACAGATTTTACTTTTTTGAACGTTTGTAAGTTTTTCTAGGTATTTATTTCCAAATGAAATTATGCCAGTTTAATTTTGCTTAGGATGAGATACTATTTATATCTCTCTTCCAAAGCTTTGAAACAGAGTATGACATAATGGGCTTTATAAAAGGAATACATTTAATAGCCAATTAGATTAACTATCAAATCTGTTTCTGGGGGAAAAAAAAGAAATCTGATAGTGGTTTGATTTCACCAAACTACTTTGTATATTTTGATTTTCTTTAAAAAATCCTATTTCCTGAAGCTTAAGTTTTTCAAGTTTTTTTCCTCCTTTTAATGGAAACCACTATTTTCAAGGGAAATGGAATTAAAGAAAGATGATATTTTCTCACTCAGTGGAAACTTGTATTATGTGAGTAACACAGATCATCCATTGATATAATTTTACCCTTATTTTTAGTACATGTGATTTTTTTTGAAGCCATAGCATCCCCAAATCCTACCTTTCTTAAAGCAAAGTGGTTTTGTTTTTTTTTTTTGGAGACAGAGTTTCAGAGTTTCGCCCTTGTCGCCCAGGCTGGAGTGCAGTGGCACCATCTCGGCTCACTGCAATCTCTGCCTCCTGGGTTCAAGCTATTCTCCTGTCTCAACCTCCTGAGTAGCTGGGAATGCAGGCGCATGCCACCAAGCCTGGCTAATTTTTGTATTTTTAGCAGAGACAGGGTTTCACCATGTTGACCAGGCTGGTCTTGAACTCCTGACCTCAGATGATCTGCCCACCTTGACCTACCAAAGTGCTGGTATTACAGGTGTGAGCCACCCCTCCCGGCCTATGTTTTTTTTTTTTTTTTTTCCTTGAGACAGAGTTTCACTCTTGTTGCCCAGGCTGGAGTGCAACAGTGTGAGCCACCGTGCCTGGCCCAGCCTTTGTTTCTGATCTCCCACTTTTGCTCATCCCCAGTTGAGACAGCTATTTCCCCGCTCGCCACACACCCGATGGCCTCAGGCAGCGTGGCTGGGCAGTGGAACCTGCAATTTCTTCCTCTGCTTTTCCAACAGCAAGTATCTGCTTACCCTATGAAGACTGGCTCGAAAAGTCTCACAAGACTTCTTTTCTCACCATTCAGAACGGTTCACTTGTTCTTTCATGATAAACAACCATCACATCAGCTACTATTTACAGAGTGCTCGGCGCACACCAGCAATTGACGAAGTGGATAATTAATGTTCACCCTCTAATGGTCAAACACAACATATTTGTTAAATATATTTAAAATGGAACTATTTATGTCTGGATCTGTTTCCTCTAATGGATTTTGAACTCCCTGTAATCAGGGATGATACTTAATTCAAGGTCGTATACTGTGTTCTACTACATTGATATACTATCTATTTTATATACTTACCAAATATTAATTAAGTTTAGTTGTCATTATAAAACATACAGCAAGTAAGTATTGAGATATTATCCTTTCAAAGTAGGGAAATTCATTCATAAGTCCAAGACAGATTGATTCAACTTCACACATTTATAATGTAGTAAACATTGGGTTCCATTGTTTCATTGAAGAATGCTTGACACTTTTTTGTGGCTCATACTTTCAGGAAATATTAGTTGAGCACTTAACTAGGTGCCAGGCACTGTTTCAGGTGCAAGAGAAACAGAGCAGAAGAACCCTTTGGCTTCATGGATTTTACGTTCTATTGAGAATCAAGGCCAGGCACAGTGGCTCACACCTGTAATTCCAGCACTTTGGGAGGCCAAGGCAGGAGGATTGCTTAAGCCCAGGCGTTTGAGACCAGCCTGGGCAACATAGTGAGATTCCATCTCTACAAAAAGTTAAAAAATAAAATTTAGCTGGGCTCAGTGGTGTGCACCTATAGTCCCAGCTACTAGGGAGGCTGAGGTGGGAGGATTGCTTGAGCCAGTAAGGTGGAGGCTGCAGTGAGCCAAGATTGTGCCACTGCACTGCAGCCTGGGAGACAGAACGAGATCCTGTTTCCAAATAAATAAAATAGTCTAATAATTAACAATTGGACAATAAATAAATTCTATAGCATATGATAGTTCTTGTAGAGAAAAAACAGGGAAAGAAGGAAATTAAATGCAAGGGCAGAGGGCAGGGGCCCGCTGTGCAGCAGACAAGGAAGGCCTCACTAATAAGGGGGATACTTGAGTAGAAGCATGGAGGGGCGGCTGTCCTAGCATCTGAGGGCAACTGTTCCAGGCATAAGCACTGTTACAGTTGTAAGGTGAGAATATGCCTTCTGAGAAGGAGGAAGGAGAGAAGAGGATGAAACTGCCTTTGCAAAATTAAGACAGTAAGAGAAATCTGACATAGTTGTCAATCTTGCTTCAAACCTCTCAGCTGTCCTTGGTCATTTCTGGGTGTAGGCCAAGCTAACTTTGGGAAGAATTTAGTTTATAGTTTAACCTTAAAGTAAGGATGATGATAGCCCTTCCCCAAACTAAACTGCCTTTGTAAAACTAATCAAAGACCAGGAGATGAGGATTATGGGAGGAATCTAAGTTCTGCTAAAATGCAGGCATAGTTTTTTGTTCTGTTTTGTTTTGTTTTTTTGATGGAGTCTTGCTCTGTCACCAGGCTGGAGTGCAGTGGCACGATCTCGACTCACTGCAACCTCTGCCTCCCAGGTTTAAGTGATTCTCCTGCCTCAGCCTCCTGAGTAGCTGAGATTACAGGTGCGTGCAACCATGCCCAGCTATTTTTTTTTCTTTTTTTTTTGTATTTTTAGTAGAGACGGGGTTTCACCACGTTGGTCAGGCTGGTCTTGAACTCCTGACCTCATGATCTGCCTGCCTTGGCCTCCCAAAGTGCTGGGATTACAGGCGTGAGCCACCACCCCTGGCCAATGCAGGCATAGTTTTTGTAATCTCTTACTGCTCAGGAGTCATGTGGCCAGAAGTCACAAGATTTGTGACCCCTCCAATTGCTCCTGTAGATAACATCACTATTGTAGAACCTAAGATTGGTCTCTCGAGATGTATTTCAGACTTTTCCATTCTAGCAACTGAGAGACTCCACCCAGACCCTTGACTGATGACTCAACCGGTCCTGTGGACTCCCCAGCCAGAGGCGGACTCAGTGCACAAGGACCGTTTCCCACACCCCGACAACTGCATCCCTGACCAATCAGCAGCACCCATTCCCTTGTCCCCACCCACTAAACTATCCTTCAAAAAAACCTAACCTCCAAGGCTTCAGGGAGACTGATTTGAGTAGTAATGCCATTTCTCACAGAGCCAGCTTCATGCCAATTAAACTCTTTCTTTACTGAAATACCATGGTCTTTGGTGAACTGGTTTTGTCCGTGCAGCAGGCAGGAAGAACCCATCAGGAAATTACAAGGTACAGAACAGTGGTTGCTGAGATCAGAGAGGACAGAGCCGAATCCCATAGAGATTTTTGATAGAATGTGAAGATGGACGGATGTGAACAGGGCAAAGATAGCATGCTCTGACACTTTTTAAAAGAATCACCTTGGAAGGTGTGTGGAGAACAGACCGAAGCGGAAGGAGGAGTAAGCTGGGAGATCACATAGGAAGCTCATGCAATCTTCCCTGGGAGAGAAACAGATGCCTGCAGTGGGGAATTGGACTGGAGATGGTGAGAAGTGGTCCAGTTCTGGGTTTGTTTTGGAATTTGAGTCAATAGGATTTAGGATATATTGGAAAGTATGGATCGGGTGCGAAAAGGAGGAAGCAAAGATGGCTCCAAACTTCTGGGCTCTGAATGCTGGTGTTGCAATGTACTGAGATGGAGAAGACTGCAGAAGAAGGAGGCAGGCTGTGGGGAGAGTTGTCAAGGTCATAAGCCCAAGGCTGGCCAAGGTCAAGGCCTTGATTTGGCTGATCTTCCTGGTAAAGATACGGTGACACACTTTTGCACAGCTTGTTACATACACAGGTAGTGAACAGAGGAGTAAGTGAAAGAGACCAGTTCCCTCTGATTCTTGTCTCACACACCAAAATAATGATCTGAAACAAAAAGGGCTCAGTGACGGCAGCAGGAATGCTGCCTCCTTGTTGCTGAGGAGCCAATTCTTGACTATAGTACAGTAGCCTCTGCGGCTCTCTACTGAGGGTGGTTGTCAGGACGCCCCACATTTCATCAGAACTAGAGAGCCGATGAGAATTTATCTCCCGATAGCATCCAAGGGAAGACAAGGAGGCAAGTGAGGGATGGTCTCATAGCTGTAACTTGTAGACCTTCCATCCTCGTGTGTTCTGGGGAAATCACAAGGCATCTGCCAAAACTCAGATTTAGCTGTGGTTTAAGCCTTCGCCTAAATGATGGATTCTGATAACTGCAAGGTCAACATGGTGCAGGTGTTGCCCTATGGGAATCAAGAGTATGGATTTTGGCTATGTTAGACATCCACATAGATGGCTGAGATTGGGATTTAGGGCTGGGAGTCTGTCTGGGGAGTTTAACCAGGAATTCATATATTTGACTGTTATTGGATATAAATTTTTTTTTTTTTAAAGATGGGGCCTCACTATGCTGTCCAGGCTATACTTGGAACTCCTGGGCACAAGCAATCCTCCCACCTCAGCCTCCTGAGTAGCTAGGACTACAGGAATACACCACCATGTGTAGCTCAAATATACACTTCAAATGAACACCAGGAAACTTGGCTGGGCGTAGTGGCTCATGTCTGTAATCCCAGCACTTTAGGAGGCCAAGGCAGGAGGATTGCTTAAGCCCAGGAGTTTGAGACCAGACTGGACAAAATAACAAGTTCCTGTCTTTAAAGAAAAAATTAAAAAAAGATTAGCCAGGTGTGGTGGCACGTACCTGTGGTCGCAGCTACTCAGGAGGCTGAGGTGGGAGGATTGCTTGAGCCCATATGGTTGAGGCTGCTGTGGGCCGCGATGCCGCCACTGCACTCCAGCCTGGGCAACAGAGCAAGACACTGTCTCAAAAGAAAAAGCAGAAAAGAAAAGAGAAAAGAAAAGAAAAGAAAAAAGCCAGGAAACTTGATGAAGTAGATCACCTAAGAATGAAACAAAGAGAAGAGAAGAAGTGCTCAGTTCAAGCTTATTCACTAATTTTTTTTTTTTTTTGAGACGGAGTCTCACTCTGCTGTCGCCAGGCTGGAGTGCAGTGGCACGATACATTTACTTTCCTTATCAAAGGATATAAAACAGGATAAGACTCAAGCTGCCTTGATTCTGCAAATCTTAAATATTAGCTAGCAAAAATAGGAATTAAAAAAACTTAGAATGTATAAAATGAAGCATGAAGAAGGAGACACAAGGTAAAAAAAAAAAAATGTGTTATGGTCCTTTGCAGAAAGCAGAGAAAACTGGGGAGAAGTGGGAAAATAAATAAGACAAACCATCTACAAAGATCCAGACCATCTCATTTATACTGTACTGTCATTGTAAAGGGGAAAAAGGGATTACACCACAAGGGACTTTTTCAATTTATCTTGCTTTCTTCAAAGTATCTTTTACCAGCATTTAGTCAGGGCCAGGGTCAGACATGCATGCCCCAAGAATAAAGGAATATCCCTGGTACTTTAAAAGAATGAAAATCATTTTTAAAAAATCTCCAAGGAAGACAAATACATCTGAAGAAATATATTTTATACTTCTATTCCCCTCTCCTGAAAAGTTATTAGAGTGAAAAACTTCGGCCCCTGAGGTTTTAATTCCTATTCCCCACCCAAGTTGGAAGATAAATGGTGATTGGAGTTGAAAACCTTCTCAACTATAGCTCTTCTGAGAGAGCATATGGACACAGAAAGTTCAGAGAGGTGGCCGGGCACAGTGGCTCACGCCTGTAATCGCAGCACTTTGGGAGGCCGAAGCGGGCAGATCACGAGGTCAGGTGTTCCAGACCAGCCTGATCAACATGGAGAAACCGCATCTCTACTAAAAATACAAAATTAGCCGGGCACGGTGGCACATGCCTGTAATCCCAGCTACTCAGGAGGCTGAGGCAGGAGAATAGCTTGAATCCAGGAGGCAGAGGTTGCGGTGAGCTCAGATCACACCATTTAACTCCAGCCTGGACAACAAAAGCGAAACTCTGTGTCAAAAAAAAAAAAAGTTCAGAGAGGTGATATATCAAAGTAATTGATTTTTTAACAGACACCTTGCAGGATTCTAACTATAATCCCGTTCACCCACTTTAGGCATAAAATGAAACCTGCATCTACTTACATGGGTATTTTTAAAGGGTCAGCCCTGGGCGTTGCCCATCTTATTGGAGCAATGTCAGTGCTTTCACTGCTGTGGCTGTTGTTGCCATGCAGTCCTGCTGTTGAAACCATCCCTGGCAGGCTGGCGGAGTCATCGTCCCCCAGGTTAGGCCGCAGGTGACCTAATTACGATGCCATCAAGACTTGGGTGCAGAGGCCCGACTGCAGCTGAAAGCCCTGGGTGTGTTCTGACACTACTGGGCCAGCAATCAATTCT